>NC_000009.12:33191818-33343333 GCF_000001405.40 Homo sapiens
GGGCAGATCACCTGAGGTTGGGAATTCAAGACCAGCCTGACCAACATGGAGAAACCCCGTCTCTACTAAAAATACAAAATTAGCTGGGCGTGGTGGCGCACGCCTATAATCCCAGCTACTCGGGAGACTGAGGCAGGAGAATTACTTGAACCCGGGAGGTGGAGGGTGGAGGTTGCAGTGAGCCAAGATCGCACCATTACACTCCAGCCTGGGCAACAAGAGCAAAACTGTCTCAAAAAAAAAAAAAAGAAAAAAAAGAAAAGAAAAAGAAAACAGAGGTTACAATGTTAATATCAGACATGGTTGAATTCACCAAAAAAAAAGAAAAATCAGAAAACAAGACACAGAAGAACACCTTGTAATGATAAAGGCTGAAAGCTACGATGAAGATGTCATGCATTTTTATGCATAAAATATAGCAACAGAATTTATAAAGCAAAAAATGGGAACTACATGGAGAAACAGAAATATAATAATAGAAGGAAATTTTAATTCATTTCTCTTAGCCCACGACTCATCAGTAAACCATACAGTAAATAAGGATATAGATGACTTGATTTGTTAATTTATAAGGTAGATTGAATTAAAATATATTAAACTTCAAAGTCGGGCTTGGTGGCTCTGGCCTGTAACCCCAGCACTTTGGGAGGCTGAGGTGGGTGGAATGGTTGAGCCCAGGAGTTTGATACCAGCCTGGGAAACATGGTGAAACCCTGCTCTACAAAAGTGTACAAAAATTAGCTGGGCATGGTGGCACCACTGTGCCATGACCCCCCCAGGGGGTCTACAGAGGCAGCAGCAACTCCATATCCTTTGGTGTGTTTTTCCTCCTGCACCTGGCAGATGGCACCCTTCATGCCTGATAACTTTATCAACTAATTCATTAATCCATGACAGACATGTCAACAATTACAAAAATAGCTTTAGAGAAACATGCAAAAATGCAGTGGGGACCCAGGAAGAGGAGTATCTAAGCCTCACTGGCTTGGAGCAGGACTTTGAGTGAGTAGGAAAAAGACTTGGGGCTGAAGAAAGAAAACGCAGTTATAGAGTAGAGCTTGAGTCCCCTGCAGCTTCTTGTAAGGCTGAACCACTGTTTCCCACAAGGCCATGCCCAGTGGCTGGAACACAGCAACTATGAAGCTCCTCTAGAGGGTTCTCTGCAAATCCTTCTCTCTGCCTCAGCCTTCCCAGCCTTAAATCATTGGTCAGAGCTTTTTCCCTAAGGAGCACTGAGATTTGCCAGAGTCCTAAAGTGAGCAGTAATGGAGCAGAAATTAGGAGCCGAATGAATTATAGTCCTAGCGTTTCTATTCTTAACTCCTAGGCTTTTATGGAGCTCTTAGGGTTGAGCTGCATTTTGAAAGCCCACACATGGAATACATGGTGGGTACAAGTGACTCACCATTAGAAAAAATTAAGTTAGGGCCCCAAGTCATGGCTGACACTAGAATAAATTCCAGATGGCTTAAAGATTTGAATGTAAAACATGAAATCATAAAAATAGTAAAATAAGAAAATAGGAAATTTATAATTTTGGAAAGGAGGGAGAATACAGATCATTTTAAGTTTAACACCAAGGCAGGTAAGAAGGAAAAGATTGATAGTAGTGCAAAAAAAGTCCTGCACCAGAAGACTATTTCAAAAGTGCAAAAATAGAAATAGAGTTAAGAAAGAACTCTACCCTAATGTCAGAGTTGTTTGATACAAAGAAAAGAGGGCCTTGGGCTACTCCTTGGGGTGCTTAATTGAGCAACTGTATCTAGAGTATTTGTGCCAACTGTCCCCTTACTTCTGACACTTGTACTAATCAGCCAGCTGCAGTGGAGATTTTCTCCGCACCAAACCAGTGAATGCCCCAGGTAGCAACTATCCCCACTGGAGTAAGAAACTGGGTGTGCTGAAAGACATGATGGATTCTCTTCTTCCTGACATACGTGCCCCATGTATACGTCCAATCAACACATTCTTCTTCCCACAAAATTACTTTCTTTTTTTTTTCCTTTTCCTTTTTCTGTTTAGAGACAGTATCTCACTATGTTGTCCAGGTTGATCTCAAACTCCTGAGCTCAAGTGATCCTCCTGTCTCAGCTTCCTTAGTAGCTGGGATTATGGGCACGCCACTGGCCCAGCAGCTCCCACAAAATTATGACATTCAGGCTCCGGAAACAGAACAGACAAGAACAAGAATGCACTAGATTCATACAGTGACTCATACCTGTAATCCCAGCATTATTGTAATACCTCCTACCTGTAATTCCAGCACTTTGGGAGGCTAAGATGGGAGGGTCACTTACTTGAGCCTGGGACGTCAAGGCTGCAGTGAGCCATGATTATGTCACTGCACTCCAGCCTGGGTGACAGAGTGAGACCCTGTCTCAAAAAAAAAAAAAAATGCACAATTTAAAAATGATCAAACAGATTGGGCACGGTGGCTCACGCCTGTAATCCCAGTACTTTGGGAGGCCGAGGTGGGCGGATCACGAGGTCAGGAGATTCAGACCATCCTGGCTAACACAGTGAAACCCGTCTCTACTAAAAAAAAAAAAAAAAAAAAATACAAAAAATTAGCTGGGGCCGGGCGTGGTGGCTCCTCCCTGTAATCCCAGCACTCTGGGAGGCCGAGGCAGGCGGATCACGAGGACAGGATATCGAGACCGTCCTGGCTAACACGGAGAAACCCCGTCTCTATTAAAACTACAAAAAATTAGCTGGGCGTGGTGGCGGGTGCCTGTAGTCCCAGCTACTCGGGAGGCTGAGGCAGGAGAATCACTTGAACCCGGGAGGCGGAGCTTGCAGTGAGCCAAAATCATGCCACTGCACTCCAGCCTGGGCGACAGAGCTAGACTCCGTATCAAAAAAAAAAAAAAAAAAAAAAAAAAATAGCCGGGCTTGGTGGCATGCGCCAGTAGTCCCAGCTACTCGGGAGACTGAGGCAGGAGAAATGCTTGAACCCGGGAGGCGGAGGTTGCGGTGAGCCAAGATCGCACAACTGCACTCCAGCCTGGCAATGAAGCGTTACTCCGTCTCAAAAAGAAAAACAAAAACAAAAAACACAAATATCTAGAGTTACTAAACAGTTGGGTAAAATTAACACTATGAAACAGAGCCATCAAAATCCATCTGTAGGCCAGGTGCAGTAGCTCACATTTATAATCCCAGTACTTTGGGAGGCCAAGGTGGGAGGATCGCTTGAGCCCAGGAGTTTGCAACCAGCCTAGGCAACATAGGGAGACCCCATTTTTACAAAATTTTGTTTTTATTAGCTAGGTGTGGTGGCACACACCTGTAGTCTCAGCTATTCAGGAGGCTGAAGTAGAAGGGTCACTTGAGCTCAGGAGTTTGAGACTGCAGTGAGCCACAGTCTCACCACTGCACTCCAGTCTGGGCGACAGAGTGAGACCCTGTCTCAAAAATAAAAAATTAAAAATCCACTGTGGGAAACCAGAATATGCCATCCCCAAAACATGCCACTCTGATGTAAGGATTATTTTGAGTTGAAGGCACTAGAGAAGAAGATTTACAAAGACAAAGGTGTCTTCCTACCCTCTCTGTCAGGAAAGACAAAAGTTAACCACCAGAGACAACTTTAGAGCTTAACAGCCTGGAGATGGCACCAAAGGAATCTACGTAGCAAGCTCTACTAAATAGCCTGTAACTGACACTTATTTGCCGTCCCACAATTTGCAGCCCTTAGAAGTTCAATGCCCTTTTCCCTTGTCTTGCCACTTCTCTAAAAATTTACTGTTCTTTGTTGAAGATGCTATATGAACTGGAATTCCAAGCCACCTCTTTGAGGCCTGTTCATTCCCTGGGTATTTCAGATGTATATACAAAATATACATGCTAATACACTTGTTTGTTTTTCTCTCATTAATCTGTCTTTTCTTATAGGGGTTCATTCCAACTAAGAATTTATGAGAGTTGAGGAAAAAATTAATTTTAGTTCCTTACACTGCCATCTGAAAAACAAACACCTAAGAATGAGAATTAATGAGTACTAGCAGAGCAAGTCTTTAGATTAAGCATAATTAATATCTCAACAAGATACGTGAAAAGATATTTCATTTGCTAAAAGGAATTAGGCCAGGCATGGTAGCTCATGCCTGTAATCCTAGCACTTTGGGAGGCCAAGGTAGGAGGATTGCTTGAGTCTGGGAGTTTGAGACCGGCCTGGGCAACATAGCAAGATTCCATCTCTACAAAAAATTTAAAAATTATCTGGGTGTGGTGGTGTGTGCCTGTAGTTCCAGCTAGTCAGGAGGCTGAGGTGGAAGGATCACTTGAGCCCAGGAGTTCGAGGTTGCAGTGAGCTCTGATCTTGCCACTGCACTTCAGCCTAGGCCACAGAGCGAGATCCTATCTCAAAATAAATTAAAAAATGGAATGAACTAAAGATCGATTTAGAATTCAGTTTCCCAAATAAAAATTTAATGGGCTTAATAACAAAATAGATACAGCTGAAGAGTGAATAATAGAGTTGAAAGATCAAGCAGCTAAGAAATTCAGGAGAATAAAAAACGGCCAGGTGTTGGCTCACGCCTGTAATCCCTGCACTTTGGGAGTTTGAGGCGGGCAGATCACCTGAGGCCGGAAGTTCGAGACCGGCCTGGCCAACATGGCAAAACCGTCTCTACTAAAAATTAAAATTAGCCAGGCATGGTGGTGCATGCCTGTAACCCCAGCTACTTGGGAGGCTGAGGCATGAGAATTACTTGAACCCAGGAGGTGGAGGTTGCAGTGAGCCAAGATTGCACCACTACACTCTAGCCTGTCTCAAAAAAAAAAAAAAAAATTCTCATAAAATGCAGTTAGAAAGAACAGAGGTGAGAAGTATAAAAGAAAAATTAGGAAGTATGGAGGATGAATCCAGAAGTTCTATCATACTATTTAACAGGAATTCCAGCATAAGGAAACAGAGGAAATGGAGGAGGAAAAATAAAGAAATAAATAATGGAATATTTTCTGGAGGTGAAAAAACACAAAAGCTTTCACATTGAAATGACCCACTGTAGACCAAGAAGAATAAACAAAACAAAACAAAAAAGACTTACACCCAGATTAACTATGATCAAATTTCAGAATACCAAACATAAAGGAAATACCAAGCAACTTTGTTTTATTCCCTCACATTTGTAAGTGAATTTTTCTAGGAAGAGGATTCACAACAATTAGTCAATTCTCAAGTAAGTAACCAAAAGGAAAGTTTAAGAACCACTGCCCTCTATGAAGGCAGCTTCTCCAAGCAGGGAATCTGGAAAGAAGCTTAACCCCTAAGTGTAGACCTTCCCCCAAAGGTTGCGAAGTTTGCTCCACACATCTAGTTCCATTTACTCTTTTTTTTTTTCACACCTGAAGAAGGAAAGTTTGGCCAAGCTCAAAACCATAATGTCCTTAGTTCAGACAACAAATTATTACACTTTCTTCTTTCTGGGAAAAACATGTGCAAAGATTTTCCCTCGGAAATGTGCCTGTTTTTAAAAGTCTCTAAAACTCAAGAGTGCTAGCATTTGCTACTCTGAAGATCTAGCCAGGAAAATGGGGGCAAAGGGAGGGCCATGAAAGCCCACTGTGTCCTTTTAGTGTTGGGGACGTGAAGACACAGGCCTGATCAGTGTACAAGGCCAGGACTGGGAGGCTGGAAACTTGGGTTAGAGCCCTGGCTCCACTACTTCCAACTGTGTCATCCAGGCCAATCCCTTTTTACTGTTTCCTTGTCAGTGAAATAGGAACATACTTGTTCTGTCTCTCAGAATAGTTCTGGGGCTAAGATGGTAAAACAATGAAGACACTCTCTGAGACCTCAAGTTCTAAACCAAGGGTCACTTAGGCAAGTGCCTTCCAGAGCCAGATAGGTAATGCAACTTTGTGAATTGGCCACATTAGAAAATGGTGGGAACCCAGGATTGATTTATGATATGGTTTGGCTGTTTCCCCACCCAAATCTCGTCTGGAATTTTAATCCCCATAGTTCCTATATGTGGTGGGAGGGAGGTGATTGGATAATGGGAGCAGTTTCCCCCATGCTATTCTCATGATAGTGAGTTCTCATGAGATCTAATGGTTTTCTAAGCATCTGGCATTTCCCCTGCTTGCACTTCTCTCTCCTGCCACCATGTAAAGAAGGCCCTTGCTTCCCCTTCACCTTCCGCCACGATTGTAAGTTTCCTGAGGCCTCCTCAGCCATGTGGAACTGTGAGTCAATTATACCTCTTTCCTTTATAAATTACTCAGTCTCAGGTATTTGTTTATAGCAGTGTGAGAACGGACTACTGCAATTCATTGTTGGGCATGCTGAATCTAAGGTGCATACAGGGAAATATAGTTCTAAACTACGTTCTAGGAACCTTAGTTCCAGGAAATATTAATATCCCAGGAAAAAAGGTGGGGGACCGTTGAGGGTCGTTCAGTTTCCCTAGAAAACAAAGCCTGGGGCAATGGTTATATGCTGATGTTTTTAATGAAGGCACAAATCCAGAGCCTCAAGAGTGATATAAAAGGGAGGGCTGGGAAATGATGCAAGATGCTTGGAGGAGCCAGCGGCTCCTGGCAGCAGCTGGCTGGCCACAGAACTCCAGAGTTGGCTGCAGTGGCAACAGTTAAGGAAATGCAAAAGGCTAGGATCCAGGACTTAGGCAGGCTAAGAGAACCTATGAAAACACGTAGAATGTGTCCAACATAAATGTCAAACAAAATTAAGAAACACTAGGTACTACATGCCGCCTCTTAGAAATCCGCAATGCATATTAGCACATTTAACAGTTCTAGAAGTACCTCAGCAAGGAAACCAGTTTCATTTTATTTGATCCAGCATTTCCCAAGCTTATTTGACCACAGAACCTTTCTTTCACGCACTGCTCATCTGTAGAACTCAGTTCTGGTCAGCTATGAATACTGGAATTTGGGGCTTAGGAAAGAGGATAGATTATAGATATGAATTTGAGATTAATAGTGATTAAAGCCAGGAGAATAAAGGAGATCATCCTGGAAGAGTTTCTACAATGATCCTAAGCTTGAGTCCTGGCATACATCAATATTTAAGGGACAAACATAGGAAGAAGATCCCTGAAGAGAGAAAGGGAAGAAACCATTGTAGAATTAGGAGAATCAGGAACCATCACTAGGTAGTAATGACAGTTAATTTTAGGTGTCAACTTGACTGGATTAAAAAATTCCTAGAGGCTGGGCGCCGTGGCTCACGCCTGTAATCCCAGCACTTTGGGAGGCTGAGGCGAGTGGATCACGAGGTCAGGAGACTGAGATCATCCTGGCTAATGTGGTGAAACCCCGTCTCTACTAAAAATACAAAAAAAATTAGCCAGGCACGGTGGCGGGAGCCTGTAGTCCCAGCTGCTCAGGAGGCTGAGGCAGGAGAATGGTGTGAACCCGGGAGGCGGAGCTTGCAGTGAGCCGAGATCGCGCCACCGCACTCCAGCCTGGGCGACAGACTGAGACTCTGTCTCAAAAAAAAAAAAAAAAAAAAAAATTCCTAGAAATCTGGTAAAGCATTATTTTGGGATGTGTAAGTGTGTGATTCTGAGTGAATTCTGTGGAGAAGATCCACCCTTAAGGTGGGGGGACAGCATCCAATCTGCTGAGAATCCAGAGAGAACAAAAACAGAGAAAAGGTGAATGTGTTCATCTATCTGCTGGAACTGGGGTACACTCTTCCTCTCCTCTCCTTGGACAACAACTCTGGGCTCCCCAGCCTTTTGATTCCAGGACTTAACACCAGAGGCCCCTGGGTTCTCAGGCCTTTGGCCTTAGACTGGGAATTATGCCTTCAGCTTGCCTGGTTCTGAGGCCTTTGGATTTGGACTCAGCCACACCAACAGCTTCCCTGGTTCTCCAGCTCGCAGACAGCTTGTGGCAGGACTTCTCAGCCTCCGTAATCACATGAGACAATCCCCCGAATGATGCTCCTCTCATATGTCAATGTAAACTAAAAATACAACCCTAAACCCCCCAGCCCACTGAACAGATCCCCTCTTGTCCAACGGGACCCCAGAAAAACCTTAAAAATGGAGTTCCCAGTCATGACAGGACAGGTCAGACAAGCCTCGTTATACCCCCTCTCTTTTGCAATGTAGACAGAACAACTGATCAGCATTAATATTAAAATTGAGACCATAAGGCTGACAGAATGGACTGTTTGTAGGAATAAGAGACCGTACAGGTCACCCTGACCCAGTGTATCATGTCTTGCTCTTGCAGCCCGACTCTGGCATAGCATCCCATGATGGTTAGCAGATTTCTTAACTAATGTATGTTAAAATTAAACCTAAACATTCCTTCATGCTGACTCCAAGATTTTAGACAAAGCCTTACTCCTTTACCCAATTGCAAATTAAAGAATCTCTCAATCTACTTATGACCTGCAAGCCCCCACTTCAAGATGTCCCACCCTTTTGGGCCAAACCAAAGTATAATCTCCATGTATTGATTTATGACTTTGCCTGTAACTTCTGCTTCCCCAAAATGTATAAAACAGAGTTGCATTGTGACTGCCTTGGGAGCACGTACTCGAGGCTCTGGGTTTGTATTTTCCCCAGGCTGCAGTCACTCATACTGGTTCAAAATAAACCTCTTTAAAACATAGTATATATTACAGAGTTTTTTTTTTTCCATTGACAGTTTCTCTCTATAGATACAGACACAGATACAGTAGATATTGATATATATTGATTCTGTCTCTCTGGAGAACACTGACTAATACAATAGTTAAAGTAGAAAGGAATTTATGACCAGGTATAGGTGAGCAGAGGACACCCCAGGCTTGAGTTACTAAGAAATCCATCTTCCCGATCAGGCATTACCCTAGAGCTTGTTAGAGATGTAAAATCTTATATGTCATGGCAGATCTACTGAATCAAAATCTGCGTTTTATCTAGATTTTTCAGGCCATTCATATGAACATTAAAGTTTGAAAAGTTCTGTCTTACAACATTACTAGCAGGGCTGGAGGGGTAGACTTAAAATGGAGCTTCCAGAAATAATTGTAAACCCTAAGAATCATCACGGTTCTGCCATCACTGATCATGAAAGAACCTGCCACCACTCCTGCCACAGGAAGCTACTGGGCCAGAAACCAGTACTGATTGGGGACTACAAAATCAATCTGCCACAATCCACATCAGCAAAATGAATGCCCTACCTGCATCCTCTCTCTCCAGTTAACTTAGTTTCAGGTTCAAGTTACATGCAAGTTTATAGAATGATAATTCCTAAGCTCATTTGGATTGCCAGCTGCAATGGAGTGTAGGAAGTGTGACATCCCAGCTGTAATGTACTGGAAGGAGATGGGAAGGGATGTTATGTGAACCAGTCCGTAGAATCCACCATTGGTGGTGTCATGGAAGCTCTGACATGAGCTTCTTTATATCCCTCCGTATCTTTTCTCCCCCTCATTCATGGTAATCCAATTTTTAGCTAAATAAGGACTACATTTCCCAGCCTCTCTGCAGATAGATATGACCATGTGACTGAGTTTGGGTCAATAATATAAAAGTGGAAATGTCCCAGCACTTTGGGAGGCCAAGGCGGGCAGATCATGAGGTCAGGAGATCAAGACCATCCTGGCTAACACAGTGAAACCCCGTCTCTACTAAAAATACAAAAAATTAGCCAGGCATGGTGGCACATGTTTGTAATCCCAGCTACTCCGGAGGCTGAGGCAGGAGAATGGCGTGAACCTGAAAGGCAGAGGTTGCAGTGAGCTGAGATCATACCACTGCACTCCAGCCTTGGCAACAGAGTGAGACTACGACTCAGAAAAAAAAACAAAAAGTGGAAATGTCACATAGCAGCTTCTAGGAATCTTTGAGAGAAAGTAGGATCATGTCCTTTACATTCATCTTTTTTCCTCCCTCCATTGTGCTGTTTGGAGCATGAGATGGTACCGTCTTAGACTAGGAGGTTGAGGGCTACACCCTAGGAGTTGGCAGAGCTTTGAGTTAGGAAGAACCTGAGGCCAGGTGCAATGGCTCACGCCTGTAATCCCAACATTTTGGGAGATGGAGGCGGGTGGATTGCTTGAGTCCAAGAGTTCAAGACCAGACTAGGCAACACGGCAAAACCCCATCTCTACTAGAAAAAAAAAAAAAATTAGAAAGGCATGCTGGCACATGCCTATAGTCCCAGCTACTCAGGAGGCTGAGGCGGGATCGCTTGAGCCCAAGAGGACAAGGCTGCAGTGAGCCGTGATCACACCACTGCATACCAGCCTGAGCAACAGAGCTAGACTTTGTCTCCAAAAAAAAAAAGAGTATAATCAACAGGCAATAGCTGATAGAAAAAGTAAGGCCTGAGAAGTGGCCCCTGGATTTGGCCCTAGACTGTTGATGACATTAGCAAGAGCAGTTTCAGTAGAAGGGGCAGGGCAGAAGCTAGACTAGAGACTGCTGGGAGAATGAGAATCGAGAAAGTAGAGGGAGCAAGTACTGTCAACCACTTTGAGCAGCATGACATGGTGATCAGGAGACAGTGAAGGCTGTGGGCTCCATGGAGGGTTTTCCTGGCTTTTCTCTACTTTTAGGACCAGGGCAGACAGAGCAAGGGTGGCCTGGGATATCCAATGTCATTCAGTGTTGCAGCCCATCTGGTGGCTGTGGCCTTCATAGCCCTGGAAATGCTGATGCTGTCTCAGAAACAAGGGGATAGTGGGAACCTGGAATAAAGGAGGCTGGAGGATGATTTAGGCTCAGCCAGAGTAGATGCTGTTAAGTCCTTCCCGTTGGGCTGCTCCACACTGGGGTGCCTCTGGGCATCCTTCAGCGAGAGGCTGCCCCTAGTGTCCCCTCCCTCCCCGCCTCTGGTGCTGCCGGCTGCATCCCAGGCCTGGAACCAACATGCCGAACAGCCTCAGCACATCTGCATAGCTGACGTCAAAGCAGACCACAGTTTGTCCTCTGGGGAGGAAAGGGAACCACAGTATGTGTGTTGGTTTCTCTTCTATCTGAAAGCTCTTTCGCCCTTTTCTGCACTCAGGCCCCTGGCTAGCTTTCCTGATGTGCCTCTGGGATTCTTCCCCTTGGCACCTCCTCAACCCCGCCCTGCAGTCCCAGGTTTATCCGTTTCTTGTCACCTTGTGCTCAGCTGGGAACCCCTCCCTGCCTTTTCACATCCCTTACATCACTCCCTGAACACACTAGTCACTTACGTCCTCTCCTTCTTCAACTTTCTTTCCTCTCAAATGATAAAACCACCTTCCCAATCAAAGATTTATTGTGCAGGGAAGTTTTCCCAGCTCCCCACGGTAGTGAGATTAGCCAAAGGCGAATCACATGGGGGAAACTGGAGAAGGAAATGGCCCAGATTTACACCAGAGCTGTGGGGAGCAGAACCAGCAGCCAATCACAGAGGATCCTCCCTGAGTGGCTGACCCTTTGCGGGGACATAAAGTGTCCATTTATCTCCTATCTTGGGAAGAAGTGAGGGTCCTCACGAGGGCCTGGCACTTGCCAGTCTGCCAATTGCTGGGACGAATCTCAGGTTTTATTAGCCCCTCAATGGTCTCATGTATCCAAGGAGAAAGTGAGGGTCCCATGTCTGAGCCCAAGCAGGGGTTGCTCTCACCTTGGCAGCTCCCCATCTCCAGGATGTGCTCTTGCTACTCTGGAATATGGCAGCCTCTGCAAGTGATACTGGGCTTACAACACAGAAAGTGTCTCAAAAAACTTATAAGCATCCCTCAGAAACCTCTCCTGCTCCCCACTCCTGGGGCCCCATCAAAACCCAGCTTCCAGTGTTTTAAATCAAAATATAGCAGCCACAGAAAGCCTTCAGGATTGATAAGAGTTGAGCCAAGCAGATTCAAATAGCAGTAGGTCTGGTACCCTACAATGGTCTTGCCCTCCTCTGACCAATATGTCCTGGATGAGGAGGAAGAATTCAGCAAAAGGAGCAAGCTTCCCTCAAGGTGCTTAGGAAAAAATACACACTCTGGACACTGAAAAGCTTGGGGCTGATCCTATCCCTGCCACTGCTGACTTTGGGTTCTTTTTTTTGAGACAAGATCTCACCACGTTGCCCAGGTGGGTGTCATGAACTCCTGGGCTCAAGTGATCCTCCTGCGTCAGCCTCCTGTGTGGCTGGGACTATCGGCGTGAGCCCACTGTACCTGACTCCTATGGGTATATTTTTAACTTCTTTGAGTTTCCACTTTCTCAATTGTAAAACAAGGCTTATATTTCCTTTTACCTAAAATTGTAAAAAATTAAATGAAATTATGCATGCACAGTTCTTGACTTTTATTAAGTTACTAACCTGCTTGAAGGTAAAGCTTCAGAATAACTTCTTGTTTCCCATTTTCAGAAATTCTCTCCTCTCTGCTTTCGGCTTACCTTTCTCTTCTCTTATCATTTTCTTCCCCAGCACCTGGAAGGTCTCCTAGGTCCCTGCTATTCAAAGGTTCAGGGCAAGCAGTATCACTTAGGACCTTTTTAGAAATGCAGAATCTCAGGGCCCACCACAGACCCTCTCTGAATCTGAATCGGCATTTTAACAAGATTCCCAAGTTTTTCTCTGTGCATACTAAACTTTGAGACGTGCTTGTACTAGATCACCCCTTTCTTCTTTAATTTATGACATCAAATAGCACTGGTTTCAATAATTCACACCACTAACAGGAGTTTCCCCCCAGCAAATTGCATACTACTTACTAAAATCTCCTTGATTATGATACTGGAGTAACAATAAGTCATAATATTAATGAAAATTATAGCACAGTGTAACATGTGTTTAATGCTTTGGTATTTACAACATGCTTTTATACCCACATAATCTCATCTGATTCTAGAATATGGAATAGTTATCAATCAGTGAATTGATGAATGAATGAATGACTTGGGGCTATTTGGTGGAGAGAAACTGGATTATAAGAGGATTTTGAGGTTATATCAGTGAAGAATTTTGCTCAGCTGCTACTAAGAGAGATCCAAGTCAACAGTGGTCTAAATAAGACAGGGTCTTAGTTTTCTCCTAGGAAAGGCCAGGCAGGTATGGGGACTCTATCTACAAGGTCTCCAGATTAGAATTATTTTGTCTTCTGCTCTGCTATCTGTGGCACATGACTTTACTCCTTAAGATCACCTCACGGATAAAAAATGACTGCTAGGGCCTCACCCATCAAGTCCATGTCCCAGGGAGGTAAAGGAAGAATGATGGGGGGAAAGATGAAGTGGTACTTGCTAGCTAAGTTAGCCTCCTTTATACAGCTTTCTCAAAACGCCACCCAATCACTTCCCCTTACTTCTCATTAGCCATCCCTATCTGCAAGGAAAATGTAGTCTTAGCTAAGACTAGGCACATTGCTGCCCCCAATATAGGAGTAAGGAAGGTGGGATAGTGGCTATAAGGAAGAAAACTAGCATTCTTCCTATGGCATGAATGACAGGAGCATGAATGAAAGGGAGAGATTGATATACAAATCATGTTCAGTGTGCCAAGGCCTTTCTGGAAGTGTTTCGTATTTCTCCTTATGTAATGGCTCAACAAGGAAAAGAGTCAGGACAGGATGGAGTGGTCTCTGCTGGGCTGCTTCTGGGGAAAAAGAAAATGTCTTTCACTGATGTATTAGCTGAGGGCCCAAAGTTGGGTAATGTGAGAAACCAGGACTCTCAGCTGGCCCAACTCAGCTGAAGTATTGCTCTCTCTTCAAAAGATGCTGGCTTAATGATGGAGTTATCATCACTCATGCTCTTCTTCCTATATGGGATGCTCCCCTCACTCTACATCTGAATTCCCAGCTCCTTCTACGCAACTCCCACTCAGTCCTCAGTTCTTAGCTCATAGGTTCTTTTTTCTTTTTTTTCTCTTGCTCTGTCGCCCGGGCTGGAGTGCAGTGGCGCAATCTCGGCTCACTGCAAGCTCTGCCTCCCGGGTTCATGCCATTCTCCTGCCTCAGCCTCCCAAGTAGCTGGGACTACAGGCGCCCACCACGATGCCTGGCTAATTTTTTGTATTTTTAGTAGAAATGGGGTTTCACCATGTTAGCCAGCATGGTCTCGATCTCCTGACCTCATGATCTGCCCGCCTCGGCCTCCCAAAGTGCTGGGATTACAGGCATGAGCCACCTCACCTGGCCAAAGCTCATATGTTCTCATAACCTTGTTACATGTTCTCATAAACCTGGAATTTGGTCAGGTGTGGTGGCTTACGCCTGTAATCCTAGCACTTTGAGAGGCTGAGGCAGGAGGATTGCTTGAGCCCAGGAGTTCAAGATCAGCTTGGGAAACATAGTGGTATCCTGTCTCTACAAAAAAAATTAAAAAATTAGCTGGGTGTGGTGGTACACACCTGTAATCCTAGCTACTTGAGAGGCTGAGGCGGGAGGATTGCTTGAGCCCAGGGGATCGAATTTGCAGTGATCCATGTTTGTGTCACTGTATTCCAGCCTAGGTGACAGTGCGAGACCTTGTCTCAAAAAACAAAAACAAAAAAACCCTTGAAATTTACTTGTTTGAGATCTGTTCCTGCCCCAGTCTTTTATTCTACCTCCAAGTAGAAGGTCCCTGAGGGGAGATACCATGTCTATCCTATTCATCAGTGAATTTCAAGCATTTTGTACTGTACCCAGAACACAGTAGTTGCTCCACAAATATTTTCTGAATGAATAAATATATCTTATAATAAAGTTCATACTATTTCTTAGCGATCTTTGGATTGTAATTAACAAAAATCTACCTAAACTAGTTTAATCAAGAAGGGGAACTTATTTATAATGATACTGGAACATCTCATAGAGACAAGGGACTAGATTATAGCCTAGCCTCAGGAATGGAGTAGAACTAGAAACTCAAATGCCACTGGGAATCTTTCTGTTTGTCATTCTCTCTCATAAAACCAGATTCTTCTGCTTGTTACTCCTATATAGTAAGGAAAATATGGCTGCCAAGAGCACCTAACTGTTATATGTTGTTGGGCCAATCAGCTGGAGGGGAGTTAATATAGCTCTCTGTTCTCTCTTTCTTCAATATTCCAGCATGGCTCAGGTGCCTGACCCTGGACCAATCAAGTGACAAAGGGTCAGGGTCATATTGTAGAAACATGGCAGCTCCCACTACAACCTTGTGGTTTGGGTATGGGAGAGTTGTTTCCTGGAAAAGAGGTTTTAGGAAGACAAAAAAAATGGGTGTCCATTGGAGCGAGCATCACTCATCCCTGCCCCAGCACTGGCTCCTTGACCATAGCTCTAGCATTTCCTTAGATTGATGCCTGGATCCCTAGCACCTCCAATGGGTCTTGAGGGCCCTTGCCAGAGGCCTCTGATAGTTTCTAATCCGATTCTTTGTTTACTCCCCTGAACCATTTTCCCCCAATAATGCCAGTATTTAGAGATACCATGGGTGCTTGAGACTTCACAGGGAGGAAGAGGCAGCCTGGCCTCCTCAAGATCCAAGAGATCTTGCTGGGCTTTACTGCCTGCAGAAGGTGACAGTGGAGTCAGGAGAGCTGTTGGACAAGGACAGACCTCAGGTGGGGGCAGCTCTCTTCATGATTTCCTTCAACTAGCACCCTACTCCTCTTACATCTGGTCATCATGCAGCTGTGAGGGATGGGCCTCCATAACCATCTGACAAATGAGGAAACTGAGGTCCTTAAAGGGGGCAGGACATGAGCATGGTCATTTAACAGATGTCTCAGTTCATTATGTATTGCTATAACAGAACATCTCAGGCTGGGTAGTTTATAAAGAAATTTATTTCTCACAGTTCAGGAGGCTGGGAAGTCCAATATCAAGGTGTTGGCATCTGGTGAGGGCCTTCATGCTGCATCATCCCCTCATGAAAGGTGGAAAGGCAAGAGGGGTGAAAGCAAGAGTGCAAAAGTGTGCTGAACTCACTTTTCTTACAGACCCAATCTCTCAAGAACTAATCCACTCCTGAGATAATGACATTAATTCATTCATTAGGGCAGAGCCTCCACAACCTAATCACCTCTTATTCAGCCCCATCTCCAACACTGTTGCATTGGGTATTAAGTTTCCAACACATAAACTTGGGGGACACCTTCAAACCATAGCAATAGATAAATAGCAAAGAAAACACTTGAACTTAAGCTTCCCTTCTTTATGCTCCAGCTATAGGGACTGGATGAGTTTAACATCTCTTCTGCAGAGACAATGCTGTGTTCAACAGATATAGACTACGTTTCCCAGGATCCCTTGCATGTAGGTATGTTGTGTGACTGAGTTCTGCCAATGGAAGGAGGTGGAAGAGATGCATACCACTTTCACATTTGGCCATGAAATATTCTACACACTTAAGCTGGGTGCAGTGGCTCATGCCTGTAATCCCAGCACTTTGGGAGGCCAAGGCGGGTGGATCACCTGAGGTCAGGAGTTCGAGACCAGCCATGGCCAACATGGTGAAACCCTGTCTCTACTAAAAACACAAAAAATTAGCTGGGCGTGATGACAGACGCTTATAATCCCAGCTATTCCGGAGGTTGAGGCAGAAGAATCGCTTGAACTGGGGAGGTGGAGGTTGAAGTGAGCCAAGATCGTGCCACTGTACTCTAGCCCGGGTGACAGAGCGAGACTCCATCTTAAAAAAAAAAAAAAATTCTACACACTATCTCCTCCACCTGTGAGGCTGGAAGCAAAAGGGTCTGAGAATGGTGAAACCTCCTAATGGAAGAAGGCCAAATCTCTGATTTCACCCAGGAGAGAGTTCCCTATCAAGATCTGCATTGGATTTTGCTGAAGCAAGTAATCAATCTTTACTCTTAAGCCACTAAGATTTTGAGGCTATAAGTTCTTATACATAGCCTAGCATACCCAGACTAGCACATCTCTGATGGAGCCCCTCTTCTCCACAAAGAGTTAGACTTGATCTCCCACAGCACTGTATCTGCCCCAGCCCTCACCACCTTCTCCCCTGACAAAGACCCAAAGTACAGTTTTGCAATTAGAAACACAGACCTTAGGTCTCCTCAGAACTGAGTCTGAACTCCAGGTCCACCTCAGACAGACCTAAGCAGGTTTCTTGACCTCTTTAAGACTGTTTCTGCATCTGTAGAGATGGTACCCATGTCAAAATGTGGTTGTAAGGATTAAACGAGATATTATATAATCAATGGTTCACAATAAGATGATGCCACTCTCTGAGGACAGGGGATTGGAAGTTTGTAGGGCCATTTTTAGTTGTAATGATGATTGTGGAACCCTTCTGGCTAGGGATGCTAGAGGTACTGTGACAGGGCACTCCCACACAATGATAAATTGTTGCTTGTTCCCCACACCTTTCATATGGTTCATCATTCATTTGTCTGACATTACAATTACATGAGCCTAGAACCTAACTCTTACATATAATCACAAAATATTGTTGTGTGGCTTTAATTGACTTTTAATTTATTGATTCTTACTTTTTAATTGCAATGAGGTCTCTCTGTGTTTCCCCGGCTGGTCTTGCACTCCTGGGCTCAAGCAATCTTCCTGTCTCAGCCTCCTGATTATCTAGAATTACAGGTGCATGCTGCCACACCCAGCTGTGTGGTTTTAAGATATATTAAATAGTCCAGGAATATCCAAGGGTGTGGACAAGGATGGGGAAGACAGAAGGGATATGGCAGAAACCCAGGTCTGGCAGGAGCAGAGCTATCACCACCACTATGCCCAGGGAGTGAGGGGTGGGAGATTACTAGAACCTGGAAGAAGAGTGTATGTTGCAGAGTGGGCGGAGTGTTGCAGAAAGTGTTCATTTCCTAGGGCTGCCATAACAAATTACTGCAAACTTGGTGACTTAAAACAGAAAAAAGATTCTCAAATTTCCAGAGGCCAAAAGTTTAAAATCAAAGCAAGGTCACATTCCTTTCAAAGGCCCCAGGGAAGAATCCTGCTCTTCCAGCTTCCAAGGGCTCCTTGGCTTGTGGCTGCATAACTCCAATCTGTGCCTCCATCCTCATGCAGCCATCTCTTCTTCTCTGATTTCTCTTCTGTCTCTTATAAAGATACTTGTGATTAGATTCAGGGCCCACCCAGATCATACAGCACGATCTTATCTTGAGATCCTGAATTACATCAGCAAAGATCCTTTCTCCAAATAAGGTCATGTTCACAGGTTCTGGGAGTCAAAACGTGGGCATATCTTTTTGGGGGCCCCCATTCAATCCACCATGGCCACTGTATTAGTCTGTTCTCACATTGCTATAAAGAAATACCTAAGACTGGGTAATTTATAAAGAAAAGAGGTTTAATTGACTCACAGTTCTGCAGGCTGTACAGGAAGCATGACGCTAGCATTTGCTTGGCTTCTGAGGAGGCCTCAGGAAACTTACAATTTTGTAGAGATGAGGTGTAACTATATTGCCCAGGCTGGTCTCAAATTCCTGGACTCAAGTGATCCTCTGTTTCCACCTCTGGGTGGAGCTATGAGTCACCTACACCTGTAATTCTCAATGTTATGTGATCTAAAGCCCCTTTCTTATAATAAATATTTTGCGACACCACCTTTAGCCTACATAGGTAATATAACCAAAGTACATCATGGCTTCATAAAATTAGGCCATAATATGTCACAATTAATGTAAAGGTGAATTAAAATAAATGTTTAACACAAGGATGTATATTTCAACATGTAAATGCTTGGACAGACCCCTGCTAGAAGATATAATAAGTAGTCATAAGCTTGTACCTTACACAGAATCTTCGTGACTGTGCAACAGTTACAAGTGCAGACTGATACAGTGTGTTACATAAGCAGGCACGTCACATGGCCAGAGCAGGAGCAAGAGAGAGAGGGGAAAGGTGACACACACTTTTAAACCACCAAATCTCATGAGAACTCACTATTTTTAGAACAATACCAAGAGGATGGTGTTAAAGCATGCATGAGAAATCCATCCCCATGATCCAATCACCTCCCACCAGGCCCCACCTTCAACATTGGGGATTACAATTCGACATGAGATTTGGGTGGGGACACAGATCCAAACCATATCAGCCATCTTGAGAGCAGCAGTGATATATAGCAGCAGTTTGAGGTATATAGCCAAGGAGGTAGCCAGAGAAATAAATGTCCCAATCTTCCTTTCTTCCCTCGGTCCATCTCCTACCAGGGCTCTCATAAACCAGAGGGCGTGAACATGGTTGGTGGGTCAGGCTCCCAGGGCTGGCAGCAGAGTAGAAAGGGAAGGAGCACGTATCTGGAGGGACAAACAAAACTGATAGTAGCCCACCATGTAAATCAAGGGAAGATTGGACTCTTATTTAGAACTCTAGTAAGAGAGTTCTCTTGCAGTAAATCATAGTTGAATGGGAATGGGACTGGTGGTATTTGAGCCAGTCATGTAACAGACCTGTATCAGTTGGCACTTGTAACTGTTGCACATTCACAGGGATTCTGTGTAAGGTACAAGCATATGACTACTATATCTTCTAGGAGGGGTCTGTCCAAGCATTTACATGTTGAAGTATACAACCTTGTGCTATACATTTTTCTTTTCTTTTCTTTTCTTTTTTTTTTTTTTGAGATGGCGTCTTGCTCTGTCACCCAGGCTGGAGTGCAGTGGCATGATCTCGGCTGACTGCAACTTTCGCCTTCCAGGTTCAAACGATTCTCCTGCCTCAGCCTCCCAAGTAGCTGGGATTACAGGCATGCACCACCATGCCCAGCTAATTTTTATATTTTCAGTAGAGACAGGGTTTCACCATGTTGGCCGACTGGTCACGAACTCCTGACCTCAAGTGATCCGCCTGCCTCAGCCTCCCAAAGTGCTGGGATTATAGGCGTGAGCAACCATGCCTGGCCTATATGTTTCTTTTATTTCACCTCACCTTCACTGTGACATTTATGGCCTAATTTTATGAAATCATGATGTAGTTTGGTTATATTATCTACGTATGCTAAAGGTGGTGTTGTAAAGTATTTATTATAAGAAAGGGGCACTGGATCACATAACACTGAGAACTACAGGTGTAGGTGACTCATAGCTCCACCTAGAGCAAGCACTAAGTGTTCACTGCATAGTATCTATTTTTATTAAGGGTGTTATCACCCTTCTTCACTTCCAGGCACAATCAGGTTTAGATCTTGGAGATCAGTCGTGTTGTGAGTCACCAGAGAGGAGCAGGCACAGCTTGGAGCCTGTTCCCCTGGGGAGGGTGGCACTGAGTGATGCAAGCCTGGGTCCCAAGAAACCCTGGCCCTGATGCTGCTGCCCCCTCTCTGGGAGCAGGAAGTCTCCAGGGGAAAGGACTATTTCTCTAGAGCCCTGGAAATCCCAGATTAACCCTCCTACTAGGTAGATCTACAGTGTTCCCTCTGAGCATACCAGCATCTCAAGTTTCCCACTAAAGCAGGGGGCTGGGCCAGGCTTGGCTCCAGAGCTGCGAACAGCCTGGACAGAGCTGACATCAGCAGTTAGGCCAGGTTGGGGAAGGGTAGGGTTAGCCCCCAGCAGCTGGGCTGTCTCACCCATAGGGGAGGAGAGAAGAAGAGGGAGCAGCAGAAGAAGGGAGGAGGAAAAGCAGGAAAAGGAAAGTGAGCCCAGGGAAGTTTGCTCAGGACAGGCTTTTGCTGTAGGGTGGAGGAATTTCTCTAGCGGTAGTGTACCACTACACTTCAGCCTGGGAGCAGGATTCCTCCAGCTGTAAAGTGGAGTAATCCGATGCATGTTATCTCCCCGCTTAACAACTGACGTCCAAAACCCCTGCCTATGTCTTCATCTTTATTTCATCTCAGACCATTTCCCGCCATGCATGGACCTTCCCATAGAATCACTTATAGATCCCTCCAAAGGCCATGCTAATCCATGACTACATGCCTTTGGGTATACAGTTCTCTGTTTGAATTGCCTTTCCATGATTTATCTAGCTGGAAATTTCCTTAAAATATCACCTTCTCCATGAAGTATTCCCCAATTCTGATAAAATTATTCTTGCCTCTGTGTTCAAATCTAGGTGTCTAAGATACATTAGAATGACCATTTATTAATCTAGTAAGTATTCTCAAACTTTAGTGTGCATCAGAATGACCTGGGAGTCTTGTTAAAACACAGATTACTGGGATCCAACCCCAGATTTCTGATTTCAGTTCTGACCTGTAGTGGGGTCAAGAATGTTCACTTCTGGCTGGGCGCAGTGGCTCACACCTGTAAATCCCAGCACTTTGGGAGGCTGAGGCGGGTGGATCACTTGAGGTCAGGAGTTCGAGACCAGTCTGGCCAACATAGTGAAACCCCACCTCTACTAAAAATGCAAAAATTAGCCGGATGTGGTGGCGGGTGCCTGTAAGCCCAGCTACTCAGGAGGCTGAGGCAGGAGAATCGCTTGAACCCAGGAGGCAGAGGTTGCAGTGAGCCGAGATAGCGCCACTGCACTCTAGCCTGGGCAACAGAGTGAGACTCCATCTCAAAAAATAAAAAAGAATGTTCACTTCTAACAAGTTCCCATGTATTGTTGATCCTGCTGGTCCAAGGATCACACTTTGAGAACCACTGATTTACCACAAGAAATTCTCAACCCTCAGTATGGTCAGTGCTTACTTATTAATTTATTCAGTGAATGTCTACTGAGGGCCTGCTATGTGCCAGACATGGACCAGGTGTTGAGTGTTCAATGGTAAGCAAAGCCCACATTGAACTTGCCCACATAGGACTTGCCTCTATGGAGCTTCCAGTCAACTATGGAAGACATATTAAGCAAATAAAAATACCATTAAGTATATAATAACAGGCCAGGAGTGGTGGCTCATGCCTGTAATCCCAGCACTTTGGGAGGTAGAGACAGAGGCTTGCTTGAGCCCAGGAGTTTGAGACCAGCCTGGGCAATATAGTGACACCTCGTCTCTACAAAAAATTTAAAAATTAGCCAAGCATGGTAGCACACACTTGGAGTCCTTGCTACTTAGGAGGCTGAGGTGGGAGGATAGCTTGAGCTCAGGAGGCAGAGGTGTACTGAGACAGCACTTACACTCCAGCCTGGGTGACAGAGTAAGACTCTATCTCAAAAAAGAAGTACATAATACTTTGGGAGGCCGAGGCGGGCGGATCACGAGGTCAGGAGTTCGAAACCAGCCTGACCAACATGGTGAAACCCCGTCTCTACTAGAAATACAAAAAAATTAGCTGGGTGTGGTGGCATGCACTTGTAATCCCAGCTGCTCAGGAGGTTGAGGCAGGAGAATCACTTGAACCCAGGAGGCGGAGGTTACAGTGAGCTGAGATAGCGCCATTGCACTCCAGCATGGGCGACAGAGCAAGACTCTGTCTCAAAAAAAAAAAAAAAGTACATAATAACAAACTGTGATAATTGATCTGAAAGAAAAGAATATTACAAGAAAGAATAATATCAAGAACCTATTTCAGATTATGTGGTCAGGTAAGACCTTTTTGGGAAGGGGACGTTTATACAGGCAGACATCCAGTACTGTAAACAAACTTCTATAAGGTGTGTTTATTGCACTGTATTGTTACCTAGGTTTAAGTTGTCCAGCTAACCACCAGACTGTGTACTTCTTGAAATGTAGAATCTTGTCAATATTTGTGCCCTCAGCATGCTGCACAGAGTAGGGCCTTGGTAGCTAGTGAAAGAATGAATGGAAAGATGGAGGGATCATGGGAAGAATGAGCAAATAAATAAAGGAAACATCAGGTGGCTGTATGAGTGCATACTTGCATGAATGGATGATGGATAGGTAACGGAGGGATGGGTGACTGTCTCCAGCAGCAACACTGACAACCAGGATTCCTGGTGGTACCAGTGAGACAAGAGTAGAAACTGATAGGAACTTAGCTGATTCCTTTACTATATTTCCAAACCATGTCCATCATTTAAGGTGACCACCAATGGCCTCTCCTCCCCAAAAAGCCCCTTGATTACCATTGCTAAGCCCTACTCCACACGTGAATGAATTGCTGTCACCTCCTGTACTCCCACACATGCCACACCACACTTACGTCGACAAACGTAATTGCCTTGCGCTTGCCATCTACTGATCACCTGGGGTACAGGTTTCTCAGGGCAAGCCATGCTCTCTGTGTCAGTCTTAGAAGGGATAAAGGGATAGAGAGAGGAAGAAAAGAAAGTTTCTTTCCTACATCTGAGCCAAAGAAGGTACAGAGCTCAGTGGGCAGTGAGGAGATTCTTGCTCTGATAATTCATCACATGACTTCAAAAAAGCACTTTAAATGACACATTTTTTCTAGATATGTGTCTTAGGCCTCCTAAGAGGAGTTTATTTAGAGACCCAGTTTGAGTCACAATAAAGAGTTAAAAAAAACACCCAGGGTCCCTCTGGGATCTTTTTAAAAATGAACAGAGAAAAGAAAATTATACACAGACCACTCTCTTCCCTTTAAACAATCTCTGCCTGAAAATGAATGCTCACCTGGCTTTGCATTCCTCACCTGCGGATGAACGCTCATCTGCCTTTGCATTCCCCACTGGAGGATGAACGCTCACCTGGCTTTGCATGCTTTAAGACTCCCATACACTTGTTTCCAGTCTCATCAAAGCTCTTAGCTACCCAAGCCCAGTTCTATGTCAAAGGAGCTTGAATTCAGATGAGAATTTCCAAAGGGCTTGAAGATGGGAACAGAGCCCCTCTCTATTCAAAAGAGGGCAAGATAAAGAATCTGGGACATGACAGTCCCCAGAGATTGAAATAAAATACTTCTTAATTGTGAACGGCCTGAATAGACAATTCCTAAAAGAGGGCAAGGAATTAACAAATATGGGCATGAATATCTAACCCTAAAAGTAATGAAAGAAATGCAAATAAAGAAAGATTGTATATGTCTCCATGTATATATGTATACACACATACACACATTTTACACTGTAAGACTCTATGTGTGTCAGGATGTCCTGAAATGGTTTCTCATGTGACTGTAATTGGTAATAGGCTTCTGAAATCCTTGGGCAGTAGGTCTCAAGTGTCTCTGAAATGTTCTTACTTTTCCCCAAAAAATATAGGAGGAAAGGATATGATATCAATTTATCCCTAATTCTGATCATCCATCCTAAGGGAACATTTGAAATACAAAAAACAAAATAGCAAAAAGAATACTAATCATGAACACTAATCACAAAGATGTTCATCTCTGTGTTGTATGTAATAGCCAAAGGCTGGAAATAGCCTTAAAGTCCAGCAATCAGAAAATGGCTATTGGTTAGACATTTATAGAATACTCTTTTTTTTTTTTTTGAGACAGAGTCTCACTCTGTCACCAAGGCTGAAGTGCAATGGCACAATCACGGATCATTGCAGCCTTGACCTCCCAAACTCAAGGGACCCTTCTGCCTCAGCCTTCCCAGTAGCTGGGACTAAGGGTATATACCATCACAGATAATTTTTTATTTTTTGTAGAGATAAGATTTTCCTCTGTGGCCCAGGCTGGTCTTGAACTCCTGGGCTCAAGCAATTCTCCCACCTCAGCCTCCCAAAGTGCTGAGATTATAGGCATGAGCCACCATGCCTGGCCTTAGAATATTCTTTATCAATGCCCACTTATGGGTTCTGCAGGGTTCTTCCCTGGGGAATGTGCTAGCAGGCTGTTGTATAGGGTGCAGTCTCCAGATCCTTCAGGAAAGTGCCTTGGTTGAGTCTCTCAAGTCCAAAACCTGGTTCTCAGCTTCTCTGGGTCAGAAACTGGATTTTCTTAGTGTAGTAGAGAAGAGTGGTCCCTTGGGGACAGACTTACTCTCACTAATACCATCCAAGGCTGCTGTAGCCATCAAATACCAATTTATTAGAGCACAGTGGATGACATCCTTTTGCAAACAGCATAGTATGTATATCCACTGCCCAATATCTATTCTCCAGCTGGTACTAGGGTAGACAGGAAGAAAAATCAGAAGGTTTCTTGGTGAGCAGCGTGTTTGAATAAAAGGAAATGGACAGGCTTGAGGAGTACTTTTTCAAATCATGATGAGACCTGGGGAAATGTCCCTGATTGATAGGAGAGACAAGTTCTCTGTGACTAAATTGCTTGTTTCTCCTGACAAAGTGTCTCTCTCCTCTGGAGTGTGTAGGCGGCTAGCTGACCAGTTTACTTTCCTGCACCTGCTTTTCCATGTTCACTGCTTCTCTTTTTATTAATCAATTCCATTCCTAGCAAAGGTAACTGAGCAATTGAGAGGGGGCACTGGCAGGTCCAGCTGGCCCAGTCATAGTCCCTTCTCTGGGGATATGGACTTGGGATTGTGCTACTTATCAATCTATTGCCTCTCAGTGCCAAACTCAAACTTCATTCCCTGCTCTGCAAAAATGTAGCTGGACAGTCTTAATATTTTTCCTTTGTCAGCTGACAAAGGTTAAACTTTGTTAGTAAAGGGCACTAGAGAGACATTATAGGAGAAAGAAATTTTTCTTTTTTCGTTATTCTGGTGTGCTCTGCTTAGCGGATCCCCTGCATGTTTCAGCATGCAACACCTGGGTTCTATAGATAAACCTCTCCAGTATCCAGCGTCTGCAGTGCAAGCAACTTCTTTAGCATCAGGTTCCCGCAAAGACAGATGGCTTCTCCAGGGTCTGGCTCCTACCATGCATGGTGGCCAGCATCAACCAAAGGCCAGCAGCAGCTTCCCCTGGCACTCCCTACTACAGGTAGTTTTATAGGAGTGACTCTGACAGACACCTCCCAAGAATCCCAGAGGGTAGATTTCCAGCAAGTTCCATCAACACAGCGCCACATGGACTTCTTTACAATCCAGTGAACCACAGCCATACCTGCTCCAACAATGTCTGGATCTCAGCCCTTGGGGTGGGGATTGGGGATTGGTTTCTGTCTTGGATGGGATATCTCAGCCCTAGAGGTAGTAACTGCTCCTTCTAGTTGTTATTCCCATACTCTTTAAAATTCTCTTTACTTCCTACTGGCCAATCCTTCACTACTCCAATCCCCGTTACAGATAGTTAATAATTCTTTTTTGAGACAGTCTCGCTCTGTCACCCCACTAGAGTGCAGAGCGATCTTGGCTCACTGCAACCTCCGCCCTCCCGGGTTCAAGTAATTCTCATGTTTCAGCCTCCCGAATAGCTGGGACTACAGGCGTGTGCCACCACGCCTGGCTAATTTTTTGTATTTTTAGTAGAGATGGGGTTTCACCATGTTGCCCAGGCTGGTCTCGAAATCGTGAGCTCGGGCAATCAGACCGCCTCGGCCTCCCAAAGTGCTAGGTTTACAGGTGTGAGCCACCATGCTGGGCCTTCTAGTGTGTTTCTATAATTCACAACCAAAGGATCCTTATCTAATACAATCTGACTCTGGGAGATACTGCGCCTCCTCTCACTGTGTATTCATTTCATTGGAACCTTTAGAGTTTGAAAGACGTCCCCTTTTGAGACAATATTATTTATAAAACTGAAAATGAGAAATAACTTAAAAGCTCAATCATAGATATGCAATGAGAATAGTACTGCATTTTGAAATGTACTAATGTTCTTGTTTCTTTTGTCTTTTCCCCTTCAGCACAAATCTCATGGGCTGGTTATTTTCCACCTGCTTCTTCAGATCCATGGTCCACCATTTTCCACTCTGCTTTGTGCACTGGGAGGCCACCTTTCTGCGGAATATACTTACCTCTCTGCCTTCCATTTCAGTTCTGCAAATGGGAGGTACTGGAAAGAACGTGAGGGCAGGAGGAGAGATATGCCAGGGTATTTATTGCCCTAGCTCCCCCTCTGCCAGACCACAGGTAAGAAACGACTGCATTTCTCCACCTAAATTCCTTTCGAGCTGTCCCTCACCCATCGCTGCAGTCTGTATTGTTGCTCCTTTGGGCCTCAGGGTAGCGATGCTCTCCCACATTTCTAGTCCCTGAGTGTTTTGTCATTTCTTATTCACTACCTTAGCCTTGCTGGCACTTTCATAAACAATGTCTTCATTAAACCCTTCAATGACCACACTGAGTAACCCATCTGTTTTCTGCCGAGACCCTGGCTAATATAGCATCCATGGGGAAAAAGGGAGGGCAGGGATTAGAATTTACTACAGAAAAAATACGAAGAGAAATACTGAGGCTTCTGACATACAAAATTGGATTACATAGAAAAACAAAAGCCTTTGCCAGGCGTGGTGGCTCAAGCCTGTAATCCCAGCACTTTGGGAGGCTGAGGCGGGCAGATCACAAGGTCAGGAGTTCGAGACCAGCCTGACCAACATGGTGAAACCCCGTCTCTACTAAAAATACAAAAACTTAGCAGGGTGTGGTGGCAGGCACTGTAGTCCCAGCTCCTCAGGAAGCTGAAGCAGGAGAATCGCTTAAACCCTGGAGGCAGAGGTTGCAGTAAGCCGAGATCGTGCCACTGCACTCCAGCCTGGGCGATAGAGTGAGACTCCATCTAAAAAAATACAAATAAAAATAAAAAAGAAAAACAAAAGCCTTAAATACAGGCTATTTAGGTTATTGCTTCAGATTTTTCTTTAGTTAGGCCCGTTGTCATTTTTCCCTATTAACCAGTGGGTGGGACATTGTGAAGAAGACTACATCAGTTAGGGAGAAAGAATATAGAAATCACAGTTTCTCTGCACATTCTTAGTCGAAGTGTGATATAAATCTGTCACCACTCTCAGGGATGTGACTAACTAATTTAGAGGATTATAGGATGGAATATTTAATTATGATTACAGCAAACGTTAATGAGTAAAAGCTTATAACGTACTGCTAAGTGAAAAAGTAGGGCATGAAACGTATGGTCATTATGATCTGTCAACTATGTTAAATATGTACACAAATATGCGTAGGAAAAAAACTTGTAAGAAATTCACCAAAATGTATAAAGAGATGCCTTTAGATGGTGGAATTAGGGGCAGGATTTTTTTCCTTATATTTTTCTGTATTTTCTAATTTTTCTGTAATGAACATGAATTACTTTCGTAATTATAATTTTTCTTTTCTTCCATTTTTTTTAATGAGAGAGGGTCTTGTTCTGTTGCCCAGGCTGGAGTGCAGTGGTGTGATAACAGCTCACTGCAGCCTCGACCTCCCAGACTCAAACAATCCTCCCAACTTAGCCTCCCAAGTAGTTGGGACCACAGGTGCATGCCAATACATGTGGCTAATTTTTTAAAATATATTTTGTAGAGATGGGTCTCCCTATATTGCCCAGGCTGGTGGCAAACTCTTGGGCTCAAGCGATCCGCACACTTCAGCCTCCCAAAGTGATTACAAGTGTGAGCCACTATGCCCAGCCTCTTTTTCCTTTCCGGTTTTTTTTTTTTTTTTGGCAGGTCAATTGTTACACACTCCTTAGCAGATTCAGACTTTCAGACTTACATGGAACACCAACCTGCTTATTTTGTTTTTTATTTTTGCTTTATTTTTTTTTCTTTTTGAGGCAGGGTCTCACTCTGTCACCCTGGCTGGAGTGCAGTGGTGAGATCTCGGCTCACTGCCACCTCCACCTCCCGGGTTCAAGCAATTCTCCTGCCTCAGTCTCCTGAGTAGCTGGCATTACAGGTGCACACCACCACGCCCAGCTAATTTTTGTATTTTTAGTAGAGACGGGGTTTCACCACATTGGTCAGGCTTGTCTCAAACTCCTGGCCTCAAGTGATCCATCCACCTCAGCCTCCAAAAGTGCTGGGATTACAGGCCTGAGCCACCACACCTAGCCTTATGTTGTTTTTTAAGAAAACACACACATTATGTTATGCTCACGTTATCAGAAACAAATGAGACTGACCCTGGCAAGTCCCAACCAAGGAATCTGTCTCCAGATATGCCTTGGCCTGGTTGACTCTTGGAGTTAACCCTTCAGAAAGCAGGAGGCAGAGACCCTTCTGATGAGGGCTGCCTCTAGGAGTGGGACTGCTTCAGTGGATCCAGCTGAATTGTCCTGAGCAACTGTTGTAGAGATATGGGGAGTACTTAGTCTTCCAGCTGAGGCCAGGTTGGGCCACTGTGCAGTGGGCTGCTGGAAGACAAGTTGAGTCCAAACTAGCCCAGTTCTTGAGGAGCAACCACGTGACTCTATCACCGTGATATGCACAGGTTGTGACTGGTGTCCTCAGACTGGAAAACACAGTAGTGCCAGCTCAATCAGGATAGGAGAGAGACGTATACGTTGACATTTGTCTTCCTATCCGGATGAGTGTGGTCCTGCCTTTGGGCCTTTCCTTGGGCCCTCCCCTCTATGTGAAATGCCATCTCTACTAGCGAGATTCCTGTCTGATTTATTTGTTTAGGTAGAATAGCAAGAAGTCTACATCCTGATGATCCTGGGCATTGGGAGCTCACCTCACCTTCTCTGGACTCTGGAGGGCACACACATATGGTCCCTGCTGGGGGATGCTTCGCACACAGACCGTCTTCCAGAGGCAGGGGCAGGGAAACTGCTGTCAGGTGGGTGTTGGGATCTCTTTATATTTAGTTTTGTTGTGCTGTGGTTATTGATGTTGCGGTTTTCAGTTTCCTTCCCTCGTAGTTACTCCCCACCTGGGCTAGCCACTCTCTACCCATCACAGGCCCAAGTCTGTGAGAAGGGGCTTCTCTTAGGTCCTCACCAAGGCCCCTTCCCAAGGTCCCTTCCCAAGGCCCAACCTGCCCACAGTCTCACCGAGGCCAGCAGGGCCCAGGTCTGGGCCCAGGTCCAGTCCCAGGCAAGGGTATTGTGTGTGCTTCCTGATAGGTCAGGCCGCCCTGAACCCTCCAGGCACACTGGCCCTAAATGTGTCTGCTTCCTGAAGGGTCAGGCTGCCCTGAACCCTCCCTGCGCTTCCTCTTGTGACCAGTGTTGAAGATCAAGAGGAAGAGGAAGAGGCCAAAAATTCTTCACACAGAGCCCTGGGCTCCGAGCCCCTGTGGCCTGTCACTTACCTGGTCCACAGCAGAGGTGGTGTCTCTAGATGAGGGTAATGGGAAGCATCCTTCCCTCATGCCCTGCTCCCTTCCTCCGAGCCATACCCATTACACTGAGCCAGTCACGGCAGACATCTAGGCAGAAGGGACCACAGGGGTGGCCTCGTTGCCTGTCCTTGCTCCCTCCACACTGCATATCTGCAGTCTAACCTGCTGAATCACAGTCCTTGTTAGGTGAGGGCCAGGACAGGAGAGAAGACACTTCACTTGTTGCCACTACCAGTCTTTCTATACCCTATCTTTGTATTCTGTCTGCCTGGCCTAGTATGGAGCCCACTAGGTCAGCCTTTGACCAATACCCCACACAGAAGTATATTTTGGTTCTGTTTACATTCTTGTCAGAAAGCCCGCTATTTTAAGTCAGCGCCTCTCAAACGTGAATGCGCATAAGGATCACCCAGGGATCTTGCCACAGCCTAAGTCCTGATTTGGGAGTTCTAGGTCAGGACATTCTGCATTTCTAACAAGCTCCTGATACTGCAAAGATGGAAGGGACCCAGGCTTATTTCTAGGCTCAGATGAGGTCTTGCTTGTTCTGTGAAGATTATCAGAGTGCTGATGTCAGAATTAATCACTTCATCCATCATTTCCTGAACACCTGGCTCAGCCGTTGTCCCAGGTGCCAGCACAGTCTGCCCACATCTGCTCCCTGACTAGTCTGGGGGCTACTGGGACACGTAGTCTTTGTAGCCGTACTCCCTAGCATGGAGGATGCTCAGCAGTTTGTTTGAGCAAATTAATGAACAAATTAATGGCATTTGAAGGTGATTTGCAAAAGGTATAGGTTATTAATATGTACATATATATTTTGAGATGGAGTGTCACTGTGTCACCCAGGCTGTAGTACAGTGGCACAATCTCAGCTCACTGCAACCTCCGCCTCCCAGGTTCAAGCAATTCTTCTGCCTCAGCCTCCTGAGTAGCTGGGACTACAGGCACGCACCACCATGCCTGGCTAATTTTTTTGTATTTTTAGTAGAGACGGGATTTCCCCATGTTGGCCAGGCTGGAAGGTTGTTAATATTTAAGACATTTCCTAAACCGTGTTCCCTGGGACACCAATTCTGACACCAATTCAGAGGGATGTTAACAGATATTTGTTAAATGTGGTGGGGGAAGTGGGAAGCTTTTGTAATCACTTAATCCAAGAAATGCTGGATGAAAAATAGACTCCTGAAAAGCTTCTCACAGCCTTTAATAAACTAGTGGTCAGTGCCAGTGTCCCAGAGAGAGATCCAGTGAGCAGCATTTCGCTCACTTCGTTGACCATAGAGAATACCTCTTGAGAAGCACCTTGCGGGGCTAGGATGCCGAGGAACAGAGGTGAGGGGCACAGTGAGCACTCTAGTGTTCACTCGAGTCTTGGAGATAATTAAGTTACAAAGGTCTAGAGAATTAATAGACACTTGATGAGGGGAGAGGGATGTCAGAACTGAAAAGCAGAGGAGGATGTTTCTTTCACAGACTGAGTCGTCCCACTTTGGAGTTTTGTTTTGTTTTGTTTTGGGGGTTTTTTGTTTGTTTGTTTTTGAGATTTTGTTTTGTTTGGGGGGTGGTGGTTGTTCGTTTGTTTGTTTTTAAGATGGAGTCTCGCTCTGTCACCCAGGCTGGAGTGCAATGACACGATCTCGGCTCACTGCAACCTCCGCCTCCCGGGTTCAAGCAATTCTCCTGCCTCAGCCTCCCAAGTAGCCCGCCACCACGCCCGGCTAATTTGTGTTTTTAGTAGAGACGGGGTTTCACCGTGTTGGCCAGGCTGGTCTCAAACTCTCAACCTCTGGTGATCTGCCTGCCTCGGCTTCCCAAAGTGCTGGGATTACAGGTATGAGCCACCACGCCCCACTTCTTTGGAGTTCTTATCACACTGCTGTGGGGCTCTCTCTGCTCTTCTGGGTTCCTCTGGGAGGGGAGCACAGGAGAAATTCTGACTCTGTCTTCCTCCTCTGACCTCTGCAGTGGCTGAGAGGGGGAGGTTAGGAAACCTAGAGAGAAGCGAACATGGAAGCCTGTTGATGCTCAGTCTGCTAAAAGACAAAGGACTCCAGAAAGTATCTGGAGATAAAGTGTCTCCAGGAGGAGCTTTATTCCAGCTAGAAAGCAGGGGAGGATGTTTTTTTAAAGGGCCATGTAATACAAGTCTATAGCCGAGATTGGGATTGAAATGAACTGATTAAAAGAAAGGAAACATCTAGAAAAAGACCCCAGTGAATCCCAGACTTCATTTATCTTAAAACAGTCATTCTCAGCTGGAGTGAATTTTGGTCTCCCATTGGACATTTGACAAGGTCTGGGGACATTTTTGGTTGTCACAACTGAAAAGAGGTGCTACTGGCATCTAGTGGGTAGTAGCCAGAGATGCTGCCAAACCTCCTACAAGGCACAGGGCAGCCCCTTACAACAAAGAATTATTAGGTCCCAAATGTCAGTAGTGTCACCATTGAGAAACTTTGCCTTAAAAGTTGTTTTTAAATATCAGCTTTAATTTACAATTTACAATGGTGCACAAATTCAGTTGCTATACCACAAAAAAATTGAGAGAAATTTATTCAGTATAAAAAAATCCAGATTAACAATTTGGTCACCTCCTTTGAGAATGAAAAAAAAAAAAAAAAGGACATCCAAATCTTAGTCAGCAATACTATTTTGTAAATTTAAAACACATCTCAAACAACACTTGCTATTTTGCAAAGAGAGAAGTAAAAGGATTCACAGCAAATATTCCCTTTAATTTAAAAGTTTAGGACATTGCTTAAATATACTTAATAACTTTTAGCATGAAGATTTTGAAGGAAATTTTTTATGATGCATCTTTTTATTTGTAAAAATTGTAAAAATTTATGGGGTACATGTGAAATCTCGTTACATATATATATAATGCATAGTGATCAAGTCAAGGTATTTAGGCTGTCCATCACCCAAGTACAGTACATTTTTGTTTAACTATAGTCACCCTACTCTGCTATCAAGCAATGAATGTATTCCTTCTATCTAACTGTTTGTACACTTTAACCCACTTCTCTTCATCCTTCCCCATCTCTTCCATTCATTCTTCTCAGTCTCTGTTCTCCGTATTTCCTCTCTTTACCTCAATGTAATCACATTTTTTTTGGCTCCCACATATGTGAGAACATGCTACGTTTGTCTTTTTGGGACTGGCTTATTTCACCCAAGATAATGACCAATTCTGGAGGAAATGTATTAAGTAGAAGGGGATAAAATGCTACAAATAAATAAATATTATGAGTAGGGATGGGGAGGATCCCACTACTGGCTATATAATTAAAGAGATTCTCACACAACTCCATAAAGAGACATGTAAGAGGATTTTTTTTTTTTTTTGAGACAAAGTTTCGCTCTTGTTGCCCAGGCTGAAGTGCAATGGTGCGATCTCGGCTCACCGCAACCTCCACCTCGTGGGTTCAAGCGATTCTCCTGCCTCAACCTCCCAAGTAGCTGAGATTATAGGTATGCACCACCATGCCCGGCTAATTTTGTGTTTTTAGTAGAGACAGGGTTTCTCCATGTTGGTCAGGCTGGTCTCGAACTCCCGACCTCAGGTGATTCACCCGCCTCGGCCTTCCAAAGTCTGGGGGGGGTGGATTATAGGCGTGAACTACTGTGCCTGGCCATAAGAGGATATTTTATCACCAAGTTATTTGTGATGGCTGGAGAGCTGGATGCAATGAGGCATTCATCATTGGGGAAATGAATGTAAGTAAAATGTGACATAAGCACACTACAGAATATTCTACCACAGTAACAAGCAATGAATTAGATACACACAAAAGGTCAAGAAATCTTTAAAACATGGTTCTGTCCAGTTGCAGTGGCTCAAGCCTGTAATCCCAACACTTTGGGAGGCTGAGACAGAAGGGTTGCTTGAGCCCAGGAGTATGAAACCAGCCTGAGCAAGATGGTGAGACCCTGTCTCTACAAAAAACAAATAAACAAGAGCAAAAAACGCCAAAACTCCACAATGCTGAATGGGGGAAAAAAGAAGAAAGGAACAGAAGGAGGCCTCCAGCACAATATTATTTTTTGAAATGAAAAATACCCACAAAACAATGCCACATGCTTTTGAGAACACTTGCAAATAGAATGATTTATGAGTCTTAGTCACTGCATAAACTTTACAGTTGAACTCTTGGAAATTACGCATCAGTGCCACCTGGTGGTAGCACTTCAAATTTGTGGCATAATTCAGTTTTGTTTTTAACAAGATAACATTTACATACAATGAAATGCACAGATCTTCATTTGATGATTTTTCGACAACTGTATACCCCAGTGTAATCCCTACTCTAAATAATATATACGGTATTTCCACTGCCCCAGAAGGTTCCCTCCTACTCTCCCCATGCCCTACCCTGAAAGCAACAACTGATCCGCCTCTGTCACCACAATTAGCTTCCCCTGTTGTAGAACTTACATATGTGGAATTATACAGAATTATACAGTGCATACTCTTTTGTGTTTGCCTTCTTTCAGGAATCATAATGTTTTAGCGATTCAGTCATGTTGTAGCACGTATCAATAGTTAATTCACTTTTATTGCCAGGTGGTATTCTATTGCATAGCTGTATTCCAGTTGGTCTATCTGTGCACCAACTGACTGACATTTGGATCATTTCCACTTATTGCCTAATACAAATAAAGCTTCTATGAATATTTACGAATAAGGCTTTGTGTAGACATATGCTTTTTATTTACTGTGGATGGAATTGCAAGGTCATAGCATGGATAGATGTGTAATTTTTTTAATTGCGAAAAACAATTCTCCAAATAAGTTGTATCATTTTACACATCCACCAACAATGTATTTGTATCAGCAATAAAAAGATGAACAACCCAGCTTATCTAAATAGGCAAAAAGTCGTGAATCAACATTCGGAGATATATAAGTAGCTATATAGTACAGGAAAAAGTGCCCACCATTATTAGTTTTCAGGAAAATGCAAGCTAAAACCACAATGAGATATCACTTTACACTCACTAGAATGTTAAAATGTTGAGAATGTGGAGAAATTGGAGGCAATTGGAAATCACACACACACACACACACACACACACACACACACACACCCCAGCTCTCTCAGGTCACCAGCTCAATTCCTTCACAAAAGAAGGATTCAGCTTGTGACTTGCACATTTCTGCATAGGCTACTGTTGGTCAAGCCTGGAAAGTTAAAAAGGCGGAAAGACAAATCTGCTGCTGTGCATTGGTGGCGTGGAGCCACAGGAGTGCCAGAGGCGTATACTGGGGCAGGCTCTTATACCTGTTTTTTACTGCAGTTCTTCATTCAGTAGGGAAAGCTTTCATAGGGGTCTATTAGTAGAGGTTGGCCCTGACCCTTCTAAGGAGAATAAGAGTGTCCTGAAGTCAAAATGAATGAAAGCCAGGTGAAGAGATGGGCAGGTTTCCATGGGCCCCGCATTGCCTGGAGCTGCCCAGAACATGGGGCTGGCTGTAGCTTCACCACCCAACTTCTCTCTTCCCTCTTCCTCTTTCTGTTTCTCCTCACCTCTCTCTTCCTCCTTTTCATAACGGCATCATGTATTAAGTTTTGTTATGAGCCAGGCGTTTAATTTTTTTTTTTTTGGAGACAGAGTCTTACTCTGTCACCGAGGCTAGAGCGCGGTGACGCAATCTCAGCTCACTGCAACCTCCCCTTCCGGAGTTCAAGCGATTCTCCTGCCTCAGCCTCCTGAGTAGCTGGGATTACAGGCACCCGCCACCATGCCAGGCTAATGTTTTTTTGTATTTTTAGTAGAGACGAGGTTTCACCATGTTGGCTAGGCTGGTTTCGAACTCCTGACCTCAAGTGATATGCCCGCCTTGGCCTCCCAAAGTGCTAAGATTACAGGTGTGAGCCACCGCACCCAGCCCTAATATATACTTTTTAATACAACACTTCAAGGTAGGCGTTATTATTGTTGTTGTTGTCATTTTTGAGACAGGGTCTCACTCTGTAGGCCAGGCAGAAGTGCAGTGGTGCTAACTGCAGCCTCCACCTCCAGGCTCAATCGATCCTCCCACCTCAGCCACCCAAATACCTGGGACTAGAGGCGTGTGCTACCATGCCTGGCTAATTTTACAATTTTTTGTCAAGACGAGATCTCGCTATATTGCCCAGGCTGATCACAAACTCCTGGGATCGAGCAATCCTCTCACTTCAGCCTCCCAAAAATGCTGGGATTATAGGCATGAGCCACGGCACCCTCACCCCATGAGGGAATGTGGGCTCTCCGGTTAAGGAATTTGCTTGAGGTCACAGAACTTGTGGATTCACACCCCATGGCTGCAGTCACAAATTACCACAAACGCAGAGGCTTCAAACAACATCAATGCATTCTGTTCCACTCGGGGGTCAGAGTCAGAAATGGGGCACAGGCTTGCTCTCCCTCTGGGGGCCCTACGGGAGAAAACGTCCCTTGCCCTTGCCAGCTTCTTAAGGCTGCCTCTAACCCTGGGATCCAGGCCTGCATCACCCCCCACTCTGCTTTCATCATCACAGCTCCTTCTTTGACTCTCCCTCCTCCCTCTTATGAGAACTTTATGGCCCAAGCTCACCCAGGTAACCCAGGATAACCTCCCCATTTCAGGATCCTTCCTTTGATCACAGATGCAGAATCCCTTTTGTCATGTGAGGTAACATATTCACAGGTTTGGGGGATAAGGAGGTAGGTATTTGGGGGGATGGGAGCATCGGTCTGCCTATCACAGTGAGTGAGTGGCCAAATGAGGGTTCAAACCCGGTTCTGTCGTATTCCTGAATCTGGGATCTTTCTCCAAACCACACTGCCCCTTCCTTCAGTCCTTCCTGTCCTTGGAGCTGTCCTGGGTTCCCAGCAAGCACAGATTCTCAGAAAGGGACAGCAGAAGACCCTAAGGCTGGACATATCAGGATATCACATATCCTGGTGAGAGTCCAAAGACTTCTTTTCAAATCTGGGAGGGAAGAGGAGAGACGGCAGGAGACTCCATGCCCATACCCCATTCACCATAAAGGGAGGGGGAGGTTGGCCTTGAGGGCCAGACAGGAGAGGTTCTGCAAAGGGAGCAGTGTACCCTCTGAACAATGCCGAGGACAGCACAGGTACTATGTGAATGTTGGTGAGGAGGGTGCAGGTTGCTGGGGTCGGTGGTGGGATGAGTAGCAGTATTTTGGACCCCGTGTCTAAATTCAGCCTGGTCATAGATACTGCCAGTGGCTGTGTCTGGGAAGATGCCAAGCTGGGGTCACATGGGTCCTGCCTGCTGAACCTATAAGTGCCGTGGGGCATGTGTGGCAGCTCCTCCCACCTTCTGCCTGGACCCCCTGGAATGACTGCCTTTTGGAGAGGGTCTATATTCAGGGACCTCTAGACCTTAGCTGGGCCCAGATGCAAGGAGGTTCCACCTGTGGTCCACACTCGACTATTTTGGCAACTTCCTGCCAAGGCTGGACCACAGAATTTTCCACGAAACTCACTTCAAATTGTGCGGCTCTTTCAGCTCCTGCTATTTCAGTTACTGGGCCAGGATGGGCTTCTGGGTGTATGTATTTAAAACCAGAATCTATGGTGGGCAGAGGAATCTGGTAAGAGTCTGAGATTTAAAATCAGATATTGTTTTGAATGCCGGCTCTGCCACTTACAATGCTGGAAACTTCGAACTTGTCATTTAATCTTTCTGAGCCTTAATTTTCTCGTCTGTAAAATAGATAGAATTATAAGGCCAGGTTAAGAGGCTAAGAGGGGGAACTCCTTGTGCGGATCTAAGGACCCCTCCTCGAGGCTGGGAAGAAAGAGGTGGGCAGGAGACCCTGGGCAGGGGACCATGCCCAGATCACACCCACCACAGGGAGAGGGCAGCAGAGATCTTCGGGCAGCTTGAGGGTCAGGTGGAGACAATCACCAGGGAGGGGCAGACAAGCCCTGAGGCCTCACCTGTCAACGCACTGACTCACCTCAAATATTTACTGGGCGCCTTTGAGCATGAGAACTAGACCTCTCCCTTGCCTGCCTTGGACCAGTGCCCATGGGCATGTTGAAAGCACCTGCCTGGAAGAGAGTCTGCCTTAAGAGGGTGGGTACCAACCAGGGCCACCTTGGATATGGAAAAGAAACATCATGAAAAGGAAAGAATTTCCAGGGCTCCTGGAACCGACTGAAGACTTTAGCCTTTTGGGCTCTGAGGCTGTGCCATTTGCCAGGCTCCAAAATCGCTAATCATTTTATCCTGTTCCTTTGGCAACAATAGGGTACATGTGACCTCAGCCCGGCCCATCACAGATGCCCAATTTCCAGGCCACATTGATTGGTTCAAGAGATGAGCACATGACTTACCCAACCCAATCAGAGTCTCCTCTTGGGTTTTTATACACTGAAGGAGGCTGTGGGGAGAGGAGAAAAGTCCCTTCTGTTCCTTTAGTTCACAAAGTTGGGAAAAGCGGTCTGCAGCCATACCTCCCCATCCCTAATAGCAAACAGTAAGCCTGTCTATAAGTGGGAGAGCATGATGACAGCCCCCCCAAAGAAAAGTATGAGAGTGGGAGATTGTGAACAAAACTCTGGTTCTCCCCAGCACACCCCAGGATCCTTTGGGCAGGTTGCATGGCCTCTGAACTTTGCTGCTGGATACCTTACCTGCCCCCACTCCAGTTAAGTGCACACTACAGGGCCCATGGAATCTAAGGGGAATGGCACCCCCTGGAGATGAACAGAACACATTCCACACAACCACATGAAGTAGCCCTGATTACAGGTGAGCAACTGAGGCTCAGAGGTGCAATGACACACCCAAGGTCACACAGACAAGGTGTCCAGACTCCAGAGCCCAGGTTCTGATGGCATGGCTGCCTCCTGGCCCACCCCTGGCACAGCCCAGAAGGGAGGCAGCACTCAGGACTCCAACATGAGTCTGGGAGCTGTTACTCTGGACAACGGCACCCCTGTGTCCAGGAGCCATCAGGAGGCCCTTGTTGGGCCAGCTTTATGAAGCCCTGGGCTCTTGTGAGCGAATTCATCGTACAAGTGAAAGATCAGCATGTGGCCATGGTGAAACCCTGTCTCTACTTAAAATACAAAAATTAGCTGGGTGTGGTGGTGCGCGTCTATAATCCCAGCTACTCGGGAGGCTGAGGTGGGAGAATCCCTTGAACCCGGGAGGCGGAGGTTGCAGTGAGCTGAGATCGTGCCACTGCACTCCAGCCTGTGCAACAGAGCAAAACTCTGTCTCAAAACAAAACAAAACAAAGTAAGCATGTGGGGAAGGTTTAGTAACATCTGTGGCTTTTGTCTGACCAGCAACATTCCTCCTTTCGGTAATAGAATCCCAGGTTTTCTTTGGAGACCTACTTACCTTCATTGGATACAAATAAGGGACTGTCCATAAAAATGCCTTCCCTTCCCTGGTCAGAAAGTAGACATGGGCTGGGCACAGTGCTCACATCTATAATGCCAGCACTTTGGGAGGATCACTTGAGCCCAGGAGCTCGAGAACAGCCTGGGCGACATAAGAAGACCCTGTCTCTACAAAATAAAAATAAAAAATTAGCTGGGCATGGTGATGCATACCTGTGGTTCCAGCTACTTGGGAGGCTGAGGAGAGAAGATCGCTTAAGCCAGGAAGGTCAAGGCTGCAGTGAGCCGTGATCTCACCACTGCACTCCAGCCTGGGCAACAGAGCAAGACCTTGTCTCTAAAACAAAAACCAAAAAAACGGAATGTGGACACATAACTCTAGGTTTTTTGAGCCCAGTTCTTTTGGGGCATAGTTTTTTCAGCTTGTCACCTAGTTTTTTGTGCAGCTGTGGTAGCAGGCACTGTCAGTGTCCCACCCACACTGTTTACCACTCCCCATTCTTGTGCATACCTGCGGCCTCCCTGTGCAACCCTTGCAATCCTTTGCCCGGAGGCTTTCTCTAGGAGCCCAGAGACATGAAAGGAGCTAGCCGATAGTGCCAGGGAGTTAATGGTCTCTCTTCCAGCAGCCCTCAATCAGCGACTGTTGGGAGTTGCTGGATATATACCCCAATTCCTTCACCTCTCAGTGGGGATAACTCTGCCATGTGTGCCACACAGTGTCCCAGCCATCCCTGGTTGGATTGAGGCCCAGTTTCCCCAGTGGTAACCTCAGCGATGCATACATTATTAGTTCCCTTCCCTGCCTTCCTTATTCCCACTCTCCTGCAGGTGTTTCGTGGGATTGCCTCCCAGAAAATGATTTGGAATCTAATGTGCTTTTCTCATGGTCTGCCCCTGAGTCCAACCTAAGACAATACCACATCCTTCTGGAAAATTATTATTCTGCTGAGGTTTGCCAAAATCTACTTCTGTTGCTTGCAACCCAAGGACCCTATCAAAATTCATAGTGGTCTGGAGTTGTGACATGTTGCACCAGGCTGTGATAATCTGATTTTTCTGAAGGCCATCAGAGCTCTGGAACGGAAGGGGGTATCAAGAGACTTTGTTCTAAGCTCTTTTGTATGTATGCTCAGAGGACTTGAGCCACTGGTTATGTCCATGAATGGAAATGTTTGGATGGCACAAGGTCCCAGAACACCAGGTCTCTTGAGCAGCCCCACTCCTCGATGGGTCTGTATGATAATCCCTTATGGTTGGAGGTGATCAAGCCAAGAGTCCATGCACCAGGAGAGAAGATAGGCACTGAAACTGTTTCCTGTGAGTTCAGCAGATGGTCTTGGGGTAGCTTATGGAGACAAAGCACCACACTCAGGTCTTAGAGGAGATACTAAGTTCTTAGGTCCCCAGCCAGGTTGGCTAAGAGCTAGTAGAAAATGTGGTCCTTGAAATAGAGTGCCACCTCTGTTCCCACCTATATGGACACAGCATAGGATGTCACTGGCTGGACCCAGTGGACCCACTAGAGTCCAGCTTGTCCTCAGAGCTTCCTCAAGCCCTCAGTCCAGCAGACCAAGCATCTGAAGCTGGCATCCTTACTGTCCTGAGACTTCATCCAGTGCAGGATGGATTCAAATAGTCAACACACACATGCCAGGCCCTGGGCAGAGCACTGGGGATATGAAGTGACTTAAATGTCCCCCTGTTCCTCTCTTTAAGGAAATATGAGAGATAGTCACATAGGCAAGATAAGGTCATGAAACATTACAGCTGCTGCTGGGATAGATGTCTGTGCAAACATGGTCCCCAAACTGGAGTGGGCTGAGGGTCTGAGAGGAGAGCCCAAGGGGAGGTAATAGAGGGGCACGCCAATCAGGAAGAACAGCATAAGAAAAGGCTTGGAGGCGTAAAAGCCTGCAGGTGGTTCTATCGGATGGGGTGAAGGCTCAAGTGGCCAGAGGTGAAGTTAGAGAGGCCAACAGAGGACCAGTCGTGGCGGAACTTTTATGTCATACAAACCAAGGAGCTTGGTTTTCATGCTTGAGTCATTGTGATTGAGTAACTTTAGTTGAATTGACTATCTGTAATTGAATAATATTAGGCAGAGGGATGATGTGGTCATTTTTGCATTCAGAAAGATGGCTCTGGAAGCAGAATGGATTGGAGGAGGTGAGACTGGAGGCAGGGAAACAGCATGAGTAATGAAGGTGAGAGATCGCAGAGGCTGAACTAGGGGAAATATAGAGGAGGTGATGGATATGAGAGGTGGTGAGGAGGTGAAATCAGTAAGACCTGGTTCCTGGAATGTAGAGGTGAAGGAGAAGCTCAGGATGGTCCCCAGATTAGCCTAAGGCAGTGGGGTGATGGTGGTGCTGTCCACCCAGGTGGGGGAACTGGGAGGTAGGGCAGCTCTGGGTGGACAGAAGATGGAAAGTTGACTTTTGGACATATTGAGAAGGGGGTCCATAGGATAATGGGGTGGAAGGAATATCTCTATTTCTATCACAGCTCTCACCACAGCATTTTATAGATTCCTGCTCAAGAGTCCATTCCACCTCTCCACCACTGGTGAACTGCAAGCTCCTTGAGTCCAAGTCTCACTCATCTCTGGAGTCCCAGGGACTGGCATAGTGATTGGTGCCCCACAACAGGTGCTCAATAAGTGTCCATTGAATGGTAGAGTGGATGCCCCCATGGAGGGATGACTTCAGCTCATTTCATCACTGAGCATTCCTTGGAGTCAAATCCCAAAAAAGTAGATGAAACCTCTCCTTAAAGTAGTGTCCTCCCATTGCCTGCCCCCTACAGCTCTGGACCAAGTGGAATGGGCAGGTGGGCTCTAGACCTGGGACATAGAGTTGGGTGGCTGAGGGGCCCAGGACAGGCTGTGGAGCTGGCTCAGTCCAGACCAGGTCTCCCTGGAGGGGATGCCCACACCTGGGTAGCTCACACAGGTTTCCAGGCAGGTGGGGGCACTTTGGGCTGGAGGAAGGGTGGAGCAGGATGTGAGCTGGAGGCCAGGGAAGGTGGTCCCAGGGCAAACTGGCCATGCTGGCCATGCCATCTGGCAGACCCAAGCTCTGCTGGAGCTCAGCTCCCCCACCTTAAGCTAAACAAGGCCTCTGTCCCCACCACCCATCAGCAGAACCCATGACTCAGACCTGATGGATCCAGCATTGCCGTCATCAAGGAGTGGCTGTTTACCTCAAGGAGCTGGGCACCAGGCCAATCTAAGCAGATGGCATGAAGGCTGCTGGGTGAGGCTGGGGAGTGTTGGCCCAGCCAAGGCACAGGACCCAGGTTTTCACTCTGACCTGGGGCAGAAGATGCAGGAATTGCCCAGCTTTCCTGCCTGAGCCCTGTTTTAGGTCATCTGTGTCCTGATTGTATTGATTCCAGGACCTGTGCAGGTGCCCAGGGCATTTAGGTCTTGGCCTCTCCTCTGCCTCCAGGAATCCCCACTTAAACCCTTTCCTTGGTATCACAGCAGCTACACACATCTCATCTCACATTCTCCTCTCCAGGGCCCTCACAGGTGCCCTGGGAGTCAGGCTGCTGGTGGTACAAATTGGTGAACCCAACATGGGAGATGGAAGAACATGTGCAGGCCCAAAGAGGGGAAGGGATGCACCTAAGCTCACCTAAGAAACTGGTAGCTGGGCTGGGAGCTGAGTGTACAACGAGGCCCTCACCTCCCGCCACTGACTTCCTTGTTCTTTCCATTCTGGCTCTACTGGACTCCTTGGTGTTGTAGCTGCCAACCCTGTTCCCAAGTCAAGGCTTTTGCACTTGCAGTTCCTCTGCTTGGCAGGCTCTTCCCCTGCCACCTCTGCAGGACTCGTTTCTTCTCTGCTCATGTGCTACTATTCAAAGAGAAGCCTCTCCTTTGTCACTCTCCTCTTGGCCACTTGATTTCTCTTCCACATCACATGTCATGTGTTTATTGTTGTCTTTCTTTGTTGTCTATCACCCCACTAGAACGTAAGCTCCTTAAGACAGGGACTTTCTCCATCTTATTTATAGCTGACCCCCTGGTGACTCAGAACAGTGCACAGAATATGGTAGATACTTCATAAGTATTTGTTGAATGAACACACAAACCCAGATTGCCTCACTCCTGGTCCGGAGCTCTCTCCTGTACCTCTCTATGTCTCAGAGAAGCCAGAGGAGGAAAGAGTGCAGGAGGGGTTGGCTTAGGCTGGAGGGTGGCAGCCTTACTCCTTTGCCAGAGACACAACAGGCACTGTGACCCAGGCCACACCTCCTGGGGCCTGTGTGTATCTGGGGGCTCTCTTGGGCACTCACGGCATCCCAGGGGCATGGAGGGATCAGCACTTACCTCCTCTTTTCCCAAAGCAGGCACCATCTCTGCCCTTGGGCCCACTGTGTTCTTCCCGTTCTTGGATCTGTCACGCAACATTTTTTTGAGACAGGGTCTCGCTCTGTCACCCAGGCTGGAGTATAGTGGTGTGATCACAGCTTACTGCAGCTTCTACCTCCCAGGCTCAAGCAATCTTTCTGCCTTAGCCTCCAGAATAGCTGGTACTACAAGGCACGTGCCACACTGCCTGGCTAATTTTTAAAAAATTTGTAGAGATGGGGTCTCACTACATTGCCCAGGCTGGTCTCAAACTCCTGGCCTCAAGCCATCCTCCTGCCTTAGCCTCCCAAAGTGCTGGGATTACAGGCATGAGCCACCATGCCTAGCCTCAACACTTATTGAGCACCTACTGTGTCCCACGCTCAGGACTGGGCACCAGGGCAATAGAGATAATTGAAACATTGTCCTTTTTCCCAGACAGCTTGCAGCTTAGTCAGCAGATGGATAAGCAAGGGCCACCAAAGTGCAGGGGGAAGACACGGATGGAGGAGACAGAAGGCACAATGCGAGTGGGGCATTCAGGGTGGGTGACAACAGTCATGACCTTGTTGGTGAAAGGCAGTTAGGAAGGTTTCAGAAGAGGGAATGTTTAAGCTAGGTTTCACAGGATGGGAGTAGGGGGATAGAGAAGGGAGACCCAGCATTGCCAGCAGACAGAATAAATTGTGCAAGGGGTTCAGTTGAACTGAAGAAGTGCAGGTCCAGGGTGGGGCAAGGTGAAGGTGAAGCTGGAAAGATGGGTTGGGATCAGATGTTGAAGGGGTGTGGTCACCAGGCTAAGGAGTTTGGGCTTCTTCCTGTTGGCAGTGGACGCCATTACAGTGTTTTGGGCAAGATGACCTGGTCAGCTTTGCTCTTTAGGACGCTTGTCCGGGACGCTGCGTGCAGAGTGATTTGGAGTGGCAGGTGGAGAGCCAGGGATATGAGACAGGACACCATTGAGGTGGCCAGGTTGGAGACAACAGTGGCCAGGACTAGGGTAGAGTGGGGGGTGTGGAGGGGCAGGGATGGATTCAAGAGCTATGTAGGAAGCAGAACCTAGACCCTCCATGGGAAGGCAAACAAGGCTGAGGGGTCAGTGCCTGGGATTCCACTGCCGGAGGTTGCTGGGATGTGGGTCAGGGGAGCAGAGATCAAGGCTTATTTAGCCCCCACTGACCATTCCAGACTCCTGTCATGGCCCTCCCCGGCTCCCTGGCCCCACTTTGCCCACATGGCTTCTCTGTTCTTCAGATGTGAGAAGCTTCTTCTTGCCTCAGGGCTCTCACACATTCTGTTTCCTCTACCTGCAGCACTGTTCCACTTGGCTACAGCCTGCCCTGCCCACTCAGCCCTTGGCGTCTCTGATCTCAGATGGATAGGTCACTCTTGGATCCTCTCACAGAACAGAGCATGTGTGGTTCATGGGACTCACTCCAGCAGTGATGATACAATGCTGCTGCCCGTTCAGTACTGTGCCTCTACTTAACCAAAGCTCCTGGAGGACAGGAACTGTATCTGACTCACTCTCTGCCATATCCAAGCACTCAGCATGGAGCATGGCACTTAGCCGCTTGTTAAACTTTTACTGAATACATGAATGGTGAATTAATGGTGAGGTTTTCTTGGATGCACTGACATCCTTAATGGGCTGTTCAATAGCAGTCGGATATAGGAGCTAGGTTCACACTTTGATGGGATGACAGATTACGAAGTTTGTTACTATGAGTGAATCTAGAAGGTATTTGTCTGAAGAGGAGACCTTGGGGTGGGCTGGGATGGTAAGTGAGCTCAGTACTCCACAGGCTGCCCTTGACTTTACTCTGTACTTTGAAGGATGCAAAATTCAAGCGTCCTGGCTCCTTGCAGCAACTAGAATGTTCAGTAGCCATTTCTGCCACGTGGATAGAAATCTAAGGTCCAAAACAAGGAAGGGATCAAATCCCTTTGCTCCCCTCTGTCCCTTCCTCACTGTAACCTGGGACACTGACAGACAGACCTGTCAGTGATCAGATGAGAAATGGAGAGAGGCCCAGGAGCTTCACATGTGCAAGGGTAGGAGGCAGGCAGATGGCAGACCTGCTCAGCCTAAAGGTGCTTGTGCAAGTACAGGAGGTTCATGCAAGTACAGGAGGCCAGAGACAAAGCTATAAGCCCCAAGGACTCTCAGGGAGGCAGACCTCTTGTGTGAGGAAGGACTGTCTTTGTTCGAAGCCATCCAACAACGAAACTGGTAGGTAGTGAGCTCCCCATCACCATGAATGACCTCCCAGTGGGGCTGCTGTAGGAAAGCCCTAGTGGAAGAAGGGAGATGAAACCCAGATGACCATTATTTTTTATTTTATTATTTTATTTATTTATGTATCTATTTATTTATTTTGAGACCGTCTGGCTCCATCACCCAGGCTGGAGTGCAGTGGCGCAATCTCGGCTCACTTCAACCTCCGCCTCCCTAGTTCAAGTAATTCTCCTCCCTCAGCCTCCCAAGTAACTGAGATTACAGGCACACGCCACCACACCCAGCTAATTTGTGTGTGTGTGTGTGTGTGTGTGTGTGTGTGTGTGTATTTTTAGTAGAGATGGGGTTTCACCATGTCAGCCAGCCTGGTCTCGAACTCCTGACCTCAGGTGATCCATGCAGCTTGGCCTCCCAAAGTGCTAGGATTACAGGCGTGAGCCACCACACCAAGCCTATTTTTATTTATTTATTTATTTATTTATTTATTTAGGCAGTTTCTCGCTCTGTCACCAGGCTGGAATGCAGTGGCACAACCTTGGCTCACTGCACCCTCCACCTCCCAGGTTCAAGCAATTCTCCTGCCTCAGCCTCCTGAGTAGCTGGGATTACAGGTATGCGCCACCACGCCTGGCTAATTTTTTGTATTTTTGGTAGAGATGGGTGTCACCATGTTGACCAGGGCTGGTCTCGAACTCCTGACCTCAAGTGAATGCACCCGCCTCAGCCTCCTCCCAAAGTGCTGGGATTACAGGTGTGAGCCATGGTGCCTGGCCCCAAGATGACCTTTAAAGTCCAATTCCCCTTTTATAAGATGGCGTTTTTGCTTTAGGACAGGAAGTCATCATTAAATATTTTCTCTACCTGCCTAAGCAATGGAAAGATAGCTGCCACCTGCCTCAGAGGCATCCCTGGGACTGTGCAGTTTCCTAAGGAGGAACGGAAGGATCTTGAAGCTGAGTCAAGGATCACTGGGGGCCTCAAGCTAGTCTTGGCCACAGGTCTGGGGCTTCTATGGGTCTGTAGAGGTGACTGGATGGCTGGTGTCCCCAAAGGGACTGTTCTTTTTTTAATTAAAAAAAAAATTTTTTTTTAGAGTTGGGGTCTTGCTATATTGCCCAGGCTGGTCTCTAATTTCTGGGCTCAAGCAATCCTCCTGCCTCAGCCTCCCAAGTGTTAGGATTACAGGCATGAGCCACCGCACCTGGCTGGGGCTGTCCTCAAACAAGAATCCTTCGCCTTGTCATTGGAATATTCTTGCAACTTATCTGCAGGCTTGAAATCTTTCGAAATAAAGTTTTTCTTTAAAAAAAAAAAACACAGATTCTGATTTAAATATTTCAGAGCGAAGCTCAGCATCTGTATTTGTAAATTCTCCCCCAGGGAAATCCAATCTGCAGACAGAGCTGAAAAACACTGATCTAAATGAATTAGAGAAACGTGTATGTAAATAAAATGTATTTTATATATCAGAAATTCTTTGAGAGCAAATATCCAAATGACTTATTAATGTATACTATGTAAGTATGGGGGAGTTTTAGAAACTGATTTTTCTTTAAAAGAATCTTGTCTTTATTTAACCTATGAAGATACAGATGAGGCCGCGTGCAGTGACTCATGCCTATAATCCCAGCACTTTGGGAGGCCGAGGCAGGCAGATCACGAGGTCAGGAGTTCGAGATCAGCCTGGCCAACATAGTGAAACCCCGTCTCTACTAAAAATACAAAAAGTTAGCTGGGCAGGTGGCAGGTGCCTGTAATCCTAGCTACTCAGGAGGCTGAGGCAGGAGAATCGCTTGAACCCAGGAGGCAGGGGTTGCAGCCAGCCGAGATCGCGCCAGGCACACCAGCCCGGGCAACAGTGTGAGACTCTGTCTCAAAAAAAAAAAAAGCAAATGAACACATAATACCTGCAAAGCAAGAAGGCATCTTCCTTTTAATGTTTTATTTTGCCTTTGTTTTGCCTGTTAGTTGTGCCCACTTTGCGGTACAAAAAAATAAGTGAAATAAAAGTAAGTAAAAATGATCATTTCTGCTTACGTTTACAGCTCATTTCATATTCTGCAAAATGTTTTCCCGTCTGCTATCACCGCCGCCATCCTCACAGCAGCCTGGGAGAAAGGCAGAGCCAAAAGTCTCATCTCCACTTCGTGCATGGGTGATCTGAGGCCCAGTTAAGAAAAGTGGCTCTACCGAGGTCCCAGAGTTGGTTGCTGGAGGCACTGGCAAAGGAATCCAGGCTCCAGCCCCCTTCTCTGCCTCCTGCCATCTTCCAGTTGCTTTTTTCCTTTCTCTCTTTCTCTATCTCTTTCCCCTTCTCTCTGCCTTGAACTCTCTCTCTTTCTACTTCAACTTTCCTCTCCTTGCTCCAACCCTCAGATTGGAGTCAGCTTTGCAAGTTGTCCAAACTTTTTGTCACTCTGGAAACCTGCCAGCCCCATGGCCACAGCCCCATCTCATCAAAAGCTCAGCATCTGCACCTAGAGCAAGCCCTTTCCGGATGTCAGCGTGCAAAGATTAACTCTGGTCTCTCCATCTGGCCCTAGATAAGATAAGATTAGGAGAGCGGCACTATAAATAGGCCCCCATCCTTCCTCAGGCGCAGGCCCCAGCCAGCTCAGGCTACACTATCCCAGGATCAGCATGGCCGTCCGCCAGTGGGTAATCGCCCTGGCCTTGGCTGCCCTCCTTGTTGTGGACAGGGGTGAGTGGGCAGAACCTGGATTCTCTGTGGCTTTGTGTTGGTAGGTGAGCTTGGGGTGAGAGCAGAAGCAGGGCCTGGAGCACCCTGTGAGGCCTCAGCTTTTTCCATGTACCTTCATTCTGCATATGCACCCTCCACTGTGCTGGGGAAAGTTCTGGGCTGGGAGAAAAGAAACTTGGGTTCAAATCCTGACTGGCGCAGAATTACCAAAGTCCCCTACCCTCTTGGGGCCTCAGTTTCTCCAGCTGTAAAAGAGGGCATTGTTCCAGTTCAAAGCTGCACTGAGCAACTATTGGGCTGGAGGCTGTGGGGACAGAAGGGAGCAGGTAGGTCCCAGCTCTCAGGAGAGACTGACAAGTATGCTGGGTGCAGGGTGGTGGATGCTAAGAGAGACCTGGCCGAGGTCTTCTGAGCTCCCGATCTCTCTGAAAGGCTGTGGTTTGGGACTTGGGCAGCCATGTGAGCACGACAGAGCCCTTTCCCAGGACTGGACACATATACTTGGGGCAGGGCCCTCTCAGGATCTGGGCCATCCCTGCAATCTCACAGCTACCATGTCAGGCACTGTTCTGAGCCCTTAAGACAGATTAGTGACCCAAACAGAAAAAGCACGGTCCTGATGGAGCATAAATCCAATGGGGTAGAGGAAAAGGGGAAAGGCAATAAACAAGATGGTTACAATGTATGTTAAACGGTATGTTAGAAGCTGATAAAAGTTAAGGAAAAAATACTTGGCAGGGTGATGGGCACTGGAAGGGGGTTGCAATTTCAAATCAGGGGAGGTATCTCTGAGAGTCCGATGTTTGAGCAAAGCTTGAAGGAGATGAGGGACTAAGCCATGTGGATATCTGGGAGAAGATTCCAGGCAGAGGGAACAGCTCAGGTGCAAAGGACCTGAGGCAGGGGCATGCCTGGAGTGACTGAGGTACTGTAAGACCAGTGTGGCAGGAGGGGACATTGTACGGAGTGATAGGAGAGGAGATGAGAGAGGCAAATTGGAACTGTACCGGGAAAGACCTTGTTGGCCAACATAAGAACTTGGCTTTTCCTCTGACTAAAATGGGAGGCACTGAAAGCTTTGAGCAGAGAGTTATGTCTTTCAAGGGTTGCTCTGGTTGGTACATTGAGAATAAACTGAACAGGGAAGCGGGGAGACCAGTTAGGACCCGCCTGGACAAAAGCCATAAGTTATAAGGCAACGCCTGGCAGGATCCAGGGCCACTGACCTCATGGCCAGTCCCACACCCATTTCCCCAGCTGGAAACAGACCTGGGCACAGGGGGAAAGGGAAACGGGTCTGGGGACCTGTTCAGGAGCAGCCTGCTTACGCCCAGCCTGGCACCTACACCTACCTACTCCTTGAGCAGTTGGGAACACTGAAAAGCCTGCTCTGAAGAAGTTTGGTTTTTGTTTGTTTGTTTTTGTTTTTGTTTTTTGCACATTTCAGACTACTGCCTGGGCTGAGTGAGGAGGGGGCATTTTGGGTCAAGGTCAAGGGCAGCCTGGGGGTAAATGTAGCTTTTCCCCACATCCCCCAGAAAGAAACTCTGACATCTTAGAGTTCTGAACACCCCCTCCTCCCAATACACTTTAATTTTTTTTTTTATTTAAACAAAAATTTTTTTTTCAAGACAGAGTCTTGCTTTGTTGCCCAGGCTGGAGTGCAGTGGCACGATCTTGGCTCACTGCAACCTCTGCCTCCTAGGTTGAAGCAATTATCCTGCCTCAGCCTCCTGAGTAGCTGGGATTACAGGCACATGCCACCACACCCAACTAATTTTTGTATTTTTAGTAGAGACGGAGTTTCACCATGTTGGCCAGGCTGGTCTCGAACTTCCAACCCCAAGATTTGCCCGCCTCGGCTTCCCAAGGTGCTGGGATTACACCAATGCACTTTAGTATTCAATTCCTGAACACCCACAGTGTAGGACATTGAACCAAGTGCTGCGCAAAGGCAGACATAAAGGAACCCCAAGGAGCTCAGGTGCATAGGGAGGCGGGGTGACCCAGTGAGTGGGACAGTACATGGTGGTGTGAAAGAAGCCTCCATCCAGATCTGCTCAGGAAACTGTTGGGGACGTCAAGGACAGCTTCACTGGGGGGCAGCATCAAGCCTTGAAAGGAGGGTATGATTCGGCGGGAGGAGAACGGAGACGAAGACATTTCAGGGAGGGGACATGGCATGAGCCAAAGCAGGGCCCAATCTAGGACCCGTGAGCAGAGAGGAATAGCTGGGGCATGGAGAGGTGTACTGGGAAGTCAGCCCAAGAAGCAAGTTTAGGGTCAGCTTACGCAGTACCCTAAACATAAGACTAAGCAGCTCAGGTCCATAGGGAGGCTTAGTGATCAGGACAGGGAACCACGGAAGGGCTTTATATTTTTTAAATGCTTTTCTTTTCCCTAACAGTTAAATATCAAGAAATGCACAAATCTTATCACTCGATGAATCTTGACAATGTATACACTCGTGTAACCCAAACCCCCATCAAGATACAGGACCTCTTGAGACAAGGACTTAGGGAAGAAAAATAAATACAGAACATTTCCATAGCCCCAGAAATTCCCCTATGTCAGTCAATCCCTGCCCCCATCCCAGTGCTCTGACACTTTTTTTTTTTTTTTAAGAGACAAAGTCTCACTCTGTTGCCCAGGCTGGAGTGCAGTGGTGCAATCATAGCTCACTGCAGCTTCAACCTCCTGGATTCAAACGATCCTCCTATCTCAGCCTCACAAGTAGCTGGGACTACAGGTGCGTGCCACCACACTCAGCTAATTTAAAAATTTTTTTAAATTTATTTTTATTTATTTATTTATTTATTTTTGAGACGGAGTTTTGCTCTGTCACCCAGGTTGGAGTCCAGTGGCACAATCTTGGCTCACTGCAATCTCTGCCTACTGGGTTCAAGTGATTCTCCTGCCACAGCCTCCTAAATAGCTGGGATTATAGGTGTGCACCACCACGCCCAGCAAATTTTGTATTTTTAGTAGATATGGGGTTTCACCATGTTGGTCAGGCTGGTCTCGAACTCCTGACTTCAGGTGATCCACCTGCCTCAGCTTCCCAAAGCGCTGGGATTACAGGTGTGTGCTACTGCAACCTGCCCTCATTGTTAAATTTTTTGTAGAGATGAGGTCTTGCTATGTTGCCCAGGCTGGTCTCAAACTCCTGGCTTCAAGTGATCCTCCTGCCCCAGCTTCCCAATGTGATTTTTTTCCATCATAGATTAGTTGGCCTGTTCTAGGATTTCACATAAATGGAATCATAGGGTATATAATCTTTTGTGTGTGGTTTCTTATGCTCAGCAAACTATTTTTGAGATTCAGCCACGTTATTGCATGTATCAGTTGCTTGTTTTAATTGTTCAGTAGTGCCCCATTGTATTTATTTATCCATTCTCCTGTTGAAGGACATTTGGATCACTTTCAGTTTGGGCAATTTGACATGGAAGGGTTTTAAGCAGTTCAGTGACAGGTCTAGGTTTGCATTTTGATACCCCAATGCCAGGCTTAAACAGCACATTGGGGTGACTTAGTCTAAGTTTCTGTTTCCCTCTCTCTGTGGAAATACCCTGTAATAGCATCTCCAGGAAAATATAAAACTACATTGCCTTGCACACCTCCAGTGATGGGAAACTCACTACTTCTGGAGAAAGCCTCTTTCACTGTGGCATAGCTCCCACTGAGAGAAAATTCTGCTTCATATGGAACCCAAACCTGCTTCCCTGCAGCCTCCTCACAGAGATGGGCTCTGCTTTGTGAGGTTGAAAAGAGTCCATCTCTCCCTCAGCCCCAGGATAGCCCTTCAGAGACTTCAGGGAGCATCCTGCCCTTCTCTAATTTACATAAACGCCCTTCCTTCCACCTGTGCCATTAGACATAGCTCCAGTTCCCTCATCCACCCATCATGCTTGTCAGTCACATCACAGTTTGCTCATGTCCTTTAAGCAGTTCAGCCAGACCTTGAGGGGTACACCAGTGTATGTAGAAAGAGTCAGGCTCTGGACTGCAACAGACGTGTGGGAAAATCCTACCTCTGCCTTAACAAACTGCATTGCGTCACCTCTTTGAGCCTCTTTCGTAGTTCGTTAAACTGACCTATGCCCCAGGAAACAGATTCTGAGCTATACATGCAATTTACTGGGGAGCGTTCATGGGAGTAACATCCATGAAGGATGAGGGAAGTTGACTTCCATGCAGCACAACAGAGGCTTCAGATGATCCTACAGGCAGCTTTGGGCGAGGGGATCAGGCCCTTTGTAACCACATCAACCCGACATGGGATATGGGCTGTTCCTGGGTAGTGGATGCAGCCCTGGGCAAGGCAGCTTCATTCTCTGAGGGTAATTCCTAGGAAGAGACTTGCAGTGAGTGGTCAATATTTCTGGCAGCAGGGGAAATGAGTGCCTCAGACTTGCGCGAGGGCTCTTGATGGCAGAACACAGCATCCACTACTATCTCCTTTCTTCCCTCTGTTACACAGCAGTAAGATAGGGGTGGAGAGGAGTTAAAATCATGTGTTCTCAATGCCCGGCACATAATAACTGCTGAATTGCTATTTTATAATTATTATATGGGACACAACAATTCCAGTGGGATCTAACTAACAAGGAATAGGCTGGACTGTCACCTTCCTAATTTTTGAATTTCTGTCTCTGTTTATGGAACCCAAGATCACATCAGCTTTCTGGCAGCCCCATTGTCTGGTGGCTCATCACCTTTCCTTGAGGAATTCCAGGTTGGGTAGTTGCTGGACCAAGCTCCCTGAAGCAGAAGCAGTCCTCAGACCCCTAGACCTGGGGTCTAGAGCCGGCATAATCTAATTCTTGCTTCTTTGTGTTTCAGAAGTGCCAGTGGCAGCAGGAAAGCTCCCTTTCTCAAGAATGGTAAGGCAGCTGCGTGTTGTTCTCACCTTCTCTCTGCTGAGAGGAGTCCTCTCGTCCATGCTGAGAAACCAGTTATTCTTCTCCACGATCCTGCTCAGACACCTTCAATGGCTCCAAGGTGGCCAAGGTGGCCTCCTGGCCTGCACATTCCCCACATTAGCCCCCAAGGCTGAGTAGGCCCAGCCCCCTCACCCAAGTCCCAAGATTGGCCTCAAAGCCCTTATGATGTCCCCCACCTGGTGTCCAAGGCCCCTTCCATCAGTGAGATCTCCCCACCCAGGCTTAGCAGGACAGGGTGTGCTCTCTGCTCTGTATAGTGCAGACAGGCAGGCCACAGAGTTCAGGCCAAAGAGGGGACCCTGGCACACTGAAAGCACCTGTGGAGTGTGCCAGCCTCCCACCACCACATTCCATCTGATTGTCTAAACACCAAGTTGTCCCCGAATCCTGATTCCACCTTGGCCCTTGGCCTAATGCCCCCAGTGACCCAGAAGGCAGTGGTACTGGCATCCTTGAGACTCTTGAGATTGCCCCTTCATGTAGTGGAATGAGGAGGCTCGGAGCCACCTTCCCATCCACAGCCTCAGCATCGTCCCCGTCAGTCCATCAGAATCCAGCCCCGCTTATTCAGTGCCAAAGAGCCAAATAGTTTACATACATTATTTCAATTAGCCCTATGTGAGAGAAACGCCACTATTATAATTTTTACAGATGAGGAAACTGAGACTCAGAGAGTGGAAATACCTCAATTAAGGTTATACAGCTAATCAGTGGCAAAATTCAGGTTTCTAGGGTTCGGGCCTTCACGGTTGCACCGCACAACCTTTCTCAGCCTATCCCTGTCTCAGGCACTAATGCCAGTCCTGACTGAGTTCTCACCTTGACCTCAGGCCTGTCCTAAAACCCTTTCAGACAGCCTCAATTAAGCCCCAAGCTCTGCCCCATTTCTTCAGCCTTCGCACACTTTGCAGCCTTTCTGACATGGGCCTGATAGATCATGCAGGCCAGGGAGAGTTCAGGAGCCCCCAGGGAGAGAGGGGCCTCCTGGGAATGATGGGTGGTTCCGTATCCTGGGGTCTTCAATGGGACCAGCAGAAGTTCTGATTAGTGCCTCTGAAGAGGGTGTGAACAAGTCCCCAGGAGCTTGAGGGCACAAACTCACTCCACACACATAGACATAAACACAGGCATACGCTTGAATGCCTGCACACCGGGGGCTCCAGAGACACAGGTACACATATGTACACATCCAGCCATAGGCACACACGTGGTCATGCACACGCACATACAAGCAAACACACCAAGGGGCTCTGAGTGGTTGGTTTCATCTTCACTGGACCCACACTGGGGGCCTTCTTGACTCTGATACCTCACTGGGGCCCCACTGGTTCCGAGCAGAACCCCTGTATCCCTCCCCACTGCCTCTGAATCCCTGAGTCCTCTCCCTCCCTTCTCTTCCACAGCCCATCTGTGAACACATGGTAGAGTCTCCAACCTGTTCCCAGATGTCCAACCTGGTCTGCGGCACTGATGGGCTCACATATACGAATGAATGCCAGCTCTGCTTGGCCCGGATGTAAGTCTGCCCCACAACCCCTGCTTGCTTGGGTGGGCCCCATCTCTGGTGCACAGTCTGAAAGGAGCAAGACTTGACCTGCTTCTTCCTTCATACACGCTTGACCTGAGAAGAGTCCTCCAACATATGCCCCTAATAGAATGAGTGCCAGATTAACTCAAAGAAGGCACATGGTTCCAAGCAGAAATCTAGAAGCTGGTGGTGGATAGGGAGTAGGGGCAGAAACCATTTTCCTTGTTCTGCCTTGATTGACTAGGTGACCTCATCTGTTTTTTCATTCGTCTAGCCAGCAATTATTTATTGAGCATTTACTATGTGCTAGGCACTGGGGCTAGAACAGAGCCTAAGTTAGACAGCATCACTGGCCTTCTGGAACATACAATTGGTGTAAGGGGGAAGCCAGGCTGATAGTCAGCCAATTGCAGCACAGAATTTTTTTTTTTTTTTTTTGAGACAGACTCTCACTGTCACTCAGGCTGGAGTGCAGTGGCACGATCTTGGCTCATTGCAACCTCCGCCTCCTGGGTTCAAGTATTCTCCTGCCTCAGCCTCCCGAATAGCTGGGATTACAGGCGCCCACCACCACACCTGGCTAATTTTTTTTTTTTTTTGTATTTTAAGTAGACATGGGGTTTCACCATGTTGGCCAGGCTGGTCTCGAACTCCCGATCTCAAGTGATCCACCCGCCTCAGCCTCCCAAAGTGCTAGGATTACAGGCATGAGCCACCGTGCCCGGCCTTCAGCACAGAATTCTAAGGGATCAGTGGGGCACACAGGAATAAGTAGAAATTAGCTAGGAAAAAGGAGCAAGGGAAGATAATTCCAAGTAGATGAATTTGAAAAGGTCTACAAGGAAAAGTTTACATTTGAGGAAATATAAGAAGTTGGACATGTTGGAGTATAAGGTTTAAGGGAGAATCAGGGAGAGGCAAGAAGTGAGTCCAGAAAGATGAGCAGGGCTAGAACATGACCTCCCTACATCAGATCACCTATTGGCTCTTAGTTTCTTCATCAATAAAACCCATCTTCTATGATCCTGAGAACTAAATGAGACCATGGAAGTGAAGAAAGTCCTCGGAAGCTGCAAAGCTCTGGATAGATGTGAAAGTTTGTATTTGAGGAAATATAAGGAACATCAGGATGTTGTCCTAGCTTAGAGAAAGATCATGCTAATCAAAGACTCATGGTTAGGAGGTACATTGGGAGTGGAATTGACAGGCTTGGTATGTGACTGTATGTAAAGGCTGAGGGGAAGGAGGCAGCATACTGGTTTCTGATTTGTGGGCTTGGGTGGCCAGTGGTTTCATGGGCTGAGATGGGTGGTTTGGGGGTCTGTACCAGTTCTGTGGGGGGCAGTGATGTTTGTGGACAGTTGAGCCCCTAGGACATCCCACTGGATATGGACAACTGCATGAACAGGTAGGACATAGGTCCGAGCTGGAGACAGATTTGGCAGCCATCAGCGTGCGCTGGTGGTGGAAACCCCAGGAAGCTAAAATCCCCCAGGGGAAGGGTGTACAAAAAAGGAAAAGCTGTAGAAGGATGTGCCCATGGACCCTTGGGATCTGCCCTGTATCCATACACTGCATATGTGGGCGACGCTCAGCAGGATGTCTGGATGGACTGTGCCAGGTCCCTGAATGGTACACTACAGCTCCTGAGAAGGTAGCCTCATGCCTGTCTTCTTTGATCCTAGAAAAACCAAACAGGACATCCAGATCATGAAAGATGGCAAATGCTGATCCCACAGGAGCACCTCAAGCCATGAAGTGTCAGCTGGAGAACAGTGGTGGGCATGGAGAGGATATGACATGAAATAAAAGATCCAGCCCAACTGAGTGAAGTGGTCAGTGTCTCTGGGGACACTGGTTGCAGAGGGGATAGGAGGTGGATCTTGCATTGTCGCCTCTACTCTGAATTTGATGTCCAGCTTCTCTCCGTCCCTCTGGTGCTCCTCAACCCTGTCACATGTCCCCTCAGAGGTCCCAGTTATCTTCTGCCTGCCTGAGAGGCCAGTCCCTGACCCCAGGATGCTGCCTAGTACTCCTGTCTGCCCCAGCCTGGACTATCATTCAGGCCAAGAACCTAGGTGAGGTCTGTATCCTCTGCCACTGCTGGGGTGCACGGCCCAGCCTCAGAAAGCCTCTGTGAAATCAGGAACAGTAGCTCATACCTATAATCCCAGCACTTTGGGAGGCTGAGGGTGGCAGGATTGCTTCAGGCCAGCCTGGGCAACATAGCAAGACTGTCTTTACAATTTTTTTTTTTTTTAATTAGCCAGGCTTGGTGGCATGCACCTGTAGTCCCAGCTATTCAGGAGGCTGAGGTGGGAGGGGATTGCTTGAGCCCAGGAAGTCGAGGCTGCAGTGACCCATGATCGCATCACTGCACTCCAGCCTGAGTGACAAAGTGAAACCCTGCCTCAAAAAAGAAAAAAAAAAGCTTTGTGAGAGTCATCCTGTGCCCCCCATGGCTTCCTCCTGGGTTGTGCCAGCACTCCAAGGCATGTACACACAGACACGTGGCACAGCAATGGCTGATATTCAGGCAGTGTACACAGTACAGCTGAACTGCTTGTTGTAACATTGAACTAGGTTTTTCACAATCGAAAACAGGTGATGCCCCAAGCCCTTTGAGTGCCCCCCCATACCCTAGCCACCCAGATTGTCCCCTGGAAACACCTGGGTCTCTCGGTTTCCACAGTCTGGGGTTAATTCCTGGCACTGTGGGATGATTTCGAGATGCTGCTCTGCTCTTTTGGTCAACATCTGCTCTGACTGGTTGTCAAATATTCTGACATTAGACACAGCCCCAGGCACGTCCTGCACACATGCACTCACACAATGTCCCACAGGGACACACAGTGTTCAGAATTGTCACCATAGACAGAGACTCCCTCCTGTGGTATATGTTGAATACCTCCTCTTTTGGCCAAAGCCCCTAGGCAGAGCCTCTTGATAATGGTGGCAGGAGAAAGGGGTATGGAGAGAGGCCTGGGCAGGTGAAAGCAGTTTCACACAGACTCTGATTCCTGCTGCAGAGTGGGCAGAAAGGGCAGGAAATGCTCTGTAGAAGACACATGTCTGAGAGAATGGGCACAGGAAGGCAGGAAGCTACTTTCTCTTGGACCACTGGAATGGGAACACTGAGCAGGAATTGTTGCTGATAGATTTGCAGGTGGCAGGCCTAGGAGGCCATCTATGAATAAGGCCTTCTACTGGGACTGATTCATACCTGTTTCATACCTGCATATGAATGATGTAGGATTAAGTTTGGCTGTGAGAGGCAGAAAACCCAAAATAACAGTGACTTATAGCCAGAACTTCATTTCTCCTACACATAGACCTATGTAGTATGACAACTCCATGCTCCTCTATTTTGTTACTCTGCCATCCGCATCACAGTTTCTACCTCAGGTCCAAGACAGCTACTCCAACCACAGCCATCACATCTGCATTCTAGGCCACAGAGAGAAAGGGCACGCCACTTGCCTCTGAAGACATTTCCCTTAAGACATACACACTCTGTATAAACCACATTAGCTAAAATGTAGTCTCATGGCCTTCTGAGCAGGGAGACTGAGAAATACAGTCTATCTGGTTGGCCATGCATTAAACTAAAAATTAGTTCACTTTTTGTAGGAGGAGAAAGTGGATATTGGTGACATCTAAAAGTTTCTGCCCTAAGTGGGACACCCCTCTTATACCCAAGTGGCATAGCCCAGCCAAGCATCTCATCAGTGACCCTTCCTTCCCAGGCTTCTACTCATCATCTGAGGAATCAGAGATTAAGCCTGAACAATGTGCCAGGCACCACCTGGAAGGAATACCTAATTTACCACTTACAGATGTGGACTCTGTGGCCCCCTCTCTGGGAACTACCCCAAAACCTAAGTGTTGGCCCCTAAAGACCTTATGTGTGGCATGAGACCCTGCTGCCCTGGCCATTGCTGATTAGCCAAAAGATTCTTCCCCAGGATCTTTCAAATTAGAAACAAGCAAACAGAGGCAGTTCCCCTCTGGCACTGAAGCTGTAGGATGAGCAACACAGGGGTTGTCAGCAGTCACATGTCCTGCTTTGTGGAAGAAGGAGGAATGAGAGGATGATGCAGGCATGCAGAGGCAGAGTGATTACAGGCAGTGTTTGAGTTCCTGAAGCCCGGCTGCCTTTGACCTTCCCAAAATTACATGGGATAACTTGATATCATGACCATAAAGTTTCTATTTTGCCCAGTCTCTTTGGAATTAGGCTTCTGATTCTTTTTCTTTCTTTCCTTTTTTTCCTTCCTTCCTTTTTCTTCTTTCTTTCTTCCTTTTTTCTTTCTTCTTTCTTTTTGAGATGGAGTTTTGCTCTTGTTGCCCAGGCTGGAGTGCAATGGCGCAATCTCGGCTCACCGCAACCTCCGCCTCCCAGGTTCAAGCGATTCTCCTGCCTCAGCCTCCTGAGTAGTTGGGATTACAGGCATGCGCCACTATGCCTGGCTAATTTTGTATTTTTAGTAGAGATGGGATTTCTCCATGTTGGTCAGGCTGGTCTTGAACTCTCAACCTCAGGTGATCCACCTGCCTCAGCCTCCCAAAGTGCTGGAATTACTGGCGTGAGCCACTGTGCCCAGCTTGGCTTCTGGTACTTTTGACAAAGGTCCTGACTACTATATGAAGGAGTCTCAGAAGAGGTAACCTTTAAGTTGTGCCTTGAAGGATAAGTAGAAACCATTAACTAAATAGACAATGTCGAGGCCGGGCATGGTGGCCCACGCCTGTAATCCAATCACTTTGGGAGGCCAAGACAGACAGATTGCTTAAGCTCAGGAGTTCGAGACCAGCCTGGCCAACATGGCAAGACCCTGTCTCTACCAAAAACACAAAAAATTAGCCGGGCATGGTGGCACGCACCTGTGGTCCCAGCTACTCGGGAGGCTGAGGTGGGAGGATCGCTTGAGCCCAGGAGGTGGAGGTTGCAGTGAGCAGAGATCAAGCCACTGCACTCTAGCCTGGGCAAGAGAGCAAGAACCCATCTCAAAAAAAAACAAAAACAAAAAACAATGTGGGAGAATCCTTCCAGCCCTGAGGCCGAAGAATTCGTTTGTGGGAGCACACATTCCCATCTGTTCTCCCTGTGGTAAGACTTACCATGTCCCAGGCAAGTGGGCACCTGAGAAGGGGTGCTCTCTCCCCTTCTCACGGGAGAAGAAGGGGTGCTCTCTCCCCTTCTCACGGGAGAAGAAGGGGTGCTCTCTCCCCTTCTCACGGGAGAAGAAGGGGTGCTCTCTCCCCTTCTCACGGGAGAAGAAGGGGTGCTCTCTCCCCTTCTCACGGGAGAAGAAGGGGTGCTCTCTCCCCTTCTCACGGGAGAAGAAGGGGTGCTCTCTCCCCTTCTCACGGGAGAAGAAGGGGTGCTCTCTCCCCTTCTCACGGGAGAAGAAGGGGTGCTCTCTCCCCTTCTCACGGGAGAAGAAGGGGTGCTCTCTCCCCTTCTCACGGGAGAAGAAGGGGTGCTCTCTCCCCTTCTCACGGGAGAAGAGTTTCACAGGCAGAAACCCCTTGGGTGAGCAGATCTGCGTGGGTGGGGCCTGTGCAATCACCTATCACATCTGCCCAGCAGTCCATGCATTAGGGCCTCTTTTCTCAACCCTTAAGACAATAAAGGCTGTTAAGGCTGTAAATTCCAATGCTGACGGAGATTCTGAGGCCAAATGCAGCTATAGAAGTTTCACTATTGATGTGTGCATTCAACATTCATTTGTTCTCCAAATATTTATTGAGGTCTTACTATATACAAGACTATATAACAAGTTATGCTTGTTATATATGTTATATATGTTATGTTATATATATATATGTTATATATGTAATATAACTATATTACAAGTTATGCTTGAAATAATGCTGTTACCAAGATAAAGAAGCTCCTTCACCCAAGGAACCCTGGTGTTAAAGGCAAAGATTAACCAAATAATCCCACAAGTAAACTATCATGGACTATGTAAATGCTGTGAAAGAAATGTATGGGAAGTCGAGAGAGGATCCCACCTGGGGGCTGGACAGGGTCTCAACACAGTAGGTGAGGGTTCTCCATGCAAGAGACATGTGAGTTGAATTCTGAAGGATGAACAAAAGTCACCTATACAAGGGTAGGGTTGGAGGAAGGAAGGTGAGGAGCTGTTCAAGCAGAGGTAGTAGCAGGAGCAAAGACCCCCAGGCAGGAGAGGGTGCAGTGCATCTGAGGACCTGAAAGAAGAGTGGCTGACAGCAGACAGCCAACAAATGAGGGGGTTGAGATGAGATGGGAGAAGGCATGGGGTAAAGACTTTTGCCTAAAGAGAAAGTGAGCCATTGGAGGGTTCTAAGCAGGGGACTGACATGGCAAGATTTGCACTTCATGATCACTCGGGCTGCTCTAAAGAAAATGAACTAGAGCAGAGAGGAAGTGGGAGCTAGAGGGAGAGGCAGAGGACAAGAGGAAAAAAATCAGAGAATGGGCCTGTGCAACCCTGTGTTGGTTGAGAGGCAGTACAGTAGAGGGGAAAAGCACTGGCTCTGAAACCAAACCACCCAGCTTTGTGTCTTGGCTTTGCCGCTTACTCTACAACCTTGCGCTAATGACCTAAGTTCTCTTGGTTTCCTCATCTCTAAAATAAGGATATCTGTCTACCTCTCAAGTTATGTAAGAATTAAATGACTAATATATATGAATAGTTTAGAATGGTGTTCGGCAGTTTGGTGCACAGTAACTTCTCATTAAATGTTGTGGCCCACGCCACACAGCTATCACACAAAAATAGATCAATAGTGAACCACTCTGATTAAAGTTGGGGTGCGGTGGGCTGGGACCCGAGCCTTGTCCACAAGTCTACCTCTACTACCTTGTCTGAGGTCTTAACCTGCCCAGTCCTGAATTCCTGGGACTTCAACGACTCTCTCTCTGCCAAATGATGTGAGTCTTTAGGTAGAGTTATAGCGCAAAGGGCTACTATCAATGTTATTAAGCATAAATTATGACTAGAGCCACAGAATGATTTCCTCATTAATCCAAAAAAAAAAAAAAAAGCAAACCACTCTTCTACTTTATGATGAGCACATAAACAGTTTTTTTTTCTTTTTATTTATCTACTTTTACTTACTTAAATTTTAGAGATGGGGTCTTGCTATGTTGCCCAGACTAGACTCAAACTCCTGGGCTCAAGTGATCCTCTAGCCTCAGCCTCCCAAGTAGCTGGGACTACAGGAAGGAGCTACTGCACCTGACTCAATTTTTTTTTTTTCTGAGATGGAGTCTCACTCTGTGACCCAGGCTGGAGTGCAGGGGCGTAATCTCGGCTCACAGCAACCTCTACCTCCCAGGTTCAAATGATTCTTGTGCCTCAGCCTCCCCAGTAGCTGGGATTATAGGCACATGCCACTACGCCAAGCTAATTTTTTTTTTTTTTTTTTTTAAAGCAGAATGGGGTTTTGCTATGTTGCCTGGGCTGGTCTCAAACTCCTGGCCTCAAGTGATCCGCCCGCCTCAGCCTCCCAAAGTGCTGGGATTATAGGCATGAGCTGCTGCGCCAGGCCTTAATTTTTTAAAAACAATGATGGGGTGGGGGTGGGGGACAGTCCACAAAATGGATAGAACAGCTGTGAAGGAAACATAGAACTCAGAAGGATATGGTTAACAAAAATGCCTTTGAAGGAAGCACATGTCACTCCTGAGAAGTTTATGGTTGGCTTCACCACCTGCCTGCTTTACTCATTCTGGTGCCTTCTCTTTGCCCTTCCTAATCCATGGCTCTGGCCTGGTTTCAAGCACAGACTCAGTCAACACTGGGTTCTAACCTTCTGAAGACTTGCTTGGGGACAAGGAAGCCTTGCATCAACCACAGGCTCCATCCAAGGAACGGCCCCCTGGTATCTCATGGCCTGTGGCTAGTCAGGGTCACTGGGAGGTGAGGACAAAGTCTAGAACCCAACAACCCAGCCAGATGCTCTGGAATTAGGTCACAATGAGGGATAAGTGGTCTACTTATGTGCCAAACACCTTGTTCTAGGCCATTCCCAATATTCCTGACTAGGTGCAACCTCCTGGTGATTCTGGTTTTACAGCTATGGGACTACACGATCACAAGAGCAAAGAAGCCCTCATGTATCTGAAGACTGAGGGGGCCTATAAACCTGAAACTGGCCCAAGGCAAATTAGAGCTCTCACCAGCCCAAAGAAAGCACCCAGAGGTCCAAACAGCTGGGAAAATTTGGGCAGAGGTGGCCCTCTCCAGAAAAGGTGGATTGCTGGACAGTACAACCACAGAGACAGAAGGAGAAAACAGATAGGAGCTTTACTCAAAATCACAAAGACACTATTTTTCATTGAGAACCAGTGTGAGAGTAGGAAAATTGGCAAATGGCCAGTTGCCCCCAGCAGCCCTGAAGAAATCAGGTAAATTCCGCTCCAGAGACGGCAGAGCTGGTGGCGCCATTCTTCAGGGCAGCACAGCCTTTTTCTGCTACACCTCACTCGGCCAGGGCAAAGTTTGTAGACTGCAGCCGCTCAGTCTCCTGGCAGATGTTCTGCTCCACTGTGTCACACTCGGCTAGGAATGCCTAGAAAATACACACGGGGCAGTAAGGGCCCATCCAGGGGTAGCCGACCACTGCCCACACAAGGCTCCTTGCTTACCCATTCTGGGGAACCCATGGCTGAGACTCAAAACAGATTGTGCATGAATGGAGATGGGCCACTGGCCTGGGTTCCAAGGTAAGGGGAGGGAGGGAGCATAGGACCAGCATTCTGACCATGCTCTAGGCCAGCAATCCCCTAAAAGGTGGTAAAGGCAGGGAGCTTTGCCTCAGGGCCACTGCACAGCAACTGCACAATCGCAGGAAGCACTGTGTGCATGAATACTGCCTCCTGGAATTGTGTAATGTGTCAGCCCTACCTGCTCTCCAGTGAGTTCCCTCCCTAAATAGTTTAAATTCAAATATAATTACAGGGACACAGGTGGCTCTTCTCTGACGTTTGGGGTTCCTGCTGATAAATATAACCAAAACAAGCCCATACCACACACCACGCTCCTACACTACCTGATTTTGAACAGATAAACACACATACCTACACATTAACATATTACACCTTGTCGTGCACTATTACACAACTCACCTGAACCTTTTTTACCAAGCCTTTCCTTTTCAATCTACTGTCTTTGAAATTTTCTGGCAGGATCTATGGAAGAGTAAGTTGATAATACAAGTTAGTAAATAGTAAACATGTAACAAATAATCCTCAGTGAAAATGACATGAGAGCACATAAGAAACACCCACAGTACACAAAACAGGTCACAGGTCACCAATGTAAATGTGATATCCATTTTCAGGAACCCTTTCCCTGGGTCTGTATCCTGTATGGCCTTTCCATGGCTCTTGTCCCTATAAAAGCTCCCTGTGTTCTCAATGTCTGGGCCATAGGAACTGATCTTTAACACAGACTTTGTTCTTTTATTGTTTCCTATGTATGGATACTCTGCCCTGGCCACACCATGGGCTCATTGTGACAGGAAAAGTGCCTGCTGCTGCTTCTTTACACCCACCCTGGCCAACAGAAGTACACAGTGCAGTTCACCTTCAAGAATGAAGCATCAGGCTAGAGATATCATTACTATCATCTGCAAAAGAGTTAATGATTTTCAATGGCCTCACATGACCTGGGTCTGGCTGAATCATCTATAAGTAATGAGCCCTGCAGAATTATCAGTCACATATTCATCAGAGAAAGTTAAATCCTCTGTTTCCTGGACCATGAGATCGTGGACTCCTTGGGTCCCAGCTTCATGACGATTACAGATGCTACTGGCAAACATAAGTGTAAATGATAAAAGTCCTATGCTGGAGGGCTGTGAGTGCCTAGAAAGCAGGAACTGTCTTATCATCATGCATTCACCCAGGACCTAGCAACATGACTGGCACACAATAGTAGATGCTTAATATTCTCAAGTGATGGGTTTGCTCAGGCAATAGGAGAGTAAATTACTGAAAGAGTGAATGTGACTGAAATAAAGTCAAAGAAAACTAGTTCTTCTCAGCTGAATATTTACTTACCAGTGTGTCAATCTCCTCCAAGATCTTCATAAACTGCTCTATTGTGGCTTTTACTCTCCTATCAAGTTTGCAGAGAGCTTCAGCTTGCAAATCCTTGGGCAGAAAACCCTGCGGGGAAATAATGCATTATTGCAAGGGTTCTCTGAGGCTGACGGAAGACTCCATGCCACAATACTAATGATGCAATCACACTGAGCCCACCATAGCCCTGGCAGGCCAGGCCACATCTCAGATCCACAACTTTAACTCTTGGAAAAATTAAAAAGGCTGGCCGTGGGCCAGTCCAAGAATTCTATCAGGTTGCAGTCTGCTCTACCTCGCATGACCCACTGTGGCTGCAAATGCCTCCTGAGGCTTGGCTCCAGTGAAGCCCCCAGTCACAAGAAGAGGCAGATGTTAAAAGCACAGGTTTAGAGTCTTCAAAGCCTACGCCTGAAAACTGACTGCCATTTACTAACTTGTGATCTTGAGCAAATTATTTAGCCTATTCATGCCTCAGTACCCTCATTTTAAAAATGAAGATTATGATGCCCACACCCTAGATGGTTACTGTGAGGTAAAGGGAATATATGTACATGTGTCACTAACTTGTGGCACAGACGCATGCTAAAGAATGGCAGCAGTGCTTATTTTTATCAAATTGTCTAATGGTTCACTCACACAGCTTGGCCTAATGACCAGTTAGCTGGTGACAAGAGTTGGATAGCAGGGATCTCTGAGGATGTTTATCACAGCCACGAGCTACAGACACAGATTTCACAACACGTAGCAAGAGCTTTAAACATCACCCAGCAATTCCAACTCAAAGAATTTATTCTACCAAAAAAACCAGGAATGGTCAAAAAAGATTTACGTCCAAGGACAGTCAAAGAAGCATTACACATAATGGTAAAAATAATATTAAATGAACAATACAGAGTTGGCTAGGTAAATAATACATTTATACAAGATGAAATGCATGCGAGCTTTGAAAAATACCATCACAGGAAAATGTTTAATTTTTTATCCAATAAAAGAATAGTTTATAAAGTGTAAATAACATTATATCAAATTTTTTTAAGATGAAAAATATATTTCAGGCTTTGGTAATCGTCATCTCTGAGTTGGTGCCCCATGGGTAATTTTTATTTTCCATATTAGTGCCTATACATGTACTTAAAACTTTTGTACAGTCAGCATGTATTCTGTAATTAAAACACAAACATATAGGCCGGGCGCAGTGGCTCATGCCTGTAATCCCAGCACTTTGGGAGGCCGAGGCGGGCAGATCACTTGAGGTCAGGAGTTTGAGACCAGTCTGGCCAACATGGTGAAACCCCATCTCTATTAAAAATACAAAAAAATCAGACAGATGTGGTGGCAGGCGGCACCTGTAATCCCAGCTACTCGGGAGGCTGAGGCAGGAGAATCACTTGAACCTGGCAGGCAGAGGCTACAGGGAGCCACTGAGATTGCACCACTGCACTCCAGCCTGGGTGACAGAGCGAGACTCCATATCAAAAAAAAAAAAAAAAAAAAAAAAGCCAAAACACAAACACACCCCAATTAATGCTATAAAATGAGAGGGAAAAATAAATAAAAGTGGTCTTGAGCTAGTCCTAATCCTTACTGGGTTTTAGTACCCCATCTCTAATATAAGGAATTGAATAGGATGACTCCCCCAACCCCACTATCATGTTCAACTTGGACCTTCTATGAACCAACAAAATGTTATTTGCCTTGCCAAACACATTACAACAGCCCAGAGAGAAGCTACTTGTTCTATTTCAGACAATACATGATCCTAGCAAGGCAGGTGCTCTCCTGTGAGCATAAATGGATGCTGGCTGGGGTTTGACAATAACTATGACAATAAATGCTTATAAAGCACTTAGTATGTGTCAAGCTCAATCTACATTATTTAATTCTCCCAACAATCCTAATAGGGAAATGTCACCATTATTCCATTTTTACAGATGAGGAACTTGAGACAAAGATAAACTTGTTCACAGTAAGAGAAAGGGTGAATCCAGGATCTGAACCCAGGGAGTCTGACTGCAGAACATGTCCCCATAACCACAAGTTATATCCAGGAAGCTCTGATAGAAGGCAGAAAGTTAAGGTCCATGAAGAGAGTTACCTGCTGGATTCCAGTAAGCTCTTTATTCAACTCTTCCAGCTGGTCAGCTATCTTCTCCACAGACTTCTCCAAATGTTTCAACTTCTTTAGTTCAACCTCTTCCTGTGGACTGTTCTAAAATGTTTAAGAAGAAAATAAAGCCAATAGTCAAAAAGAACAGGCTGGGCATGGTGGCTCATGCCTGTAATCCCAGCACTTTGGGAGGCCGAGATGGGCAGATCATTTGAGGTCAGGAGTTCAAGACCAGCCTGGCCAACATGGTGAAACACTGTCTCTACTAAAAAAACAAAAAAATTAGCCAGGCATGCTGGCGTGCACCTGTAGTCCTAGCTACTCGGGAGGCTGAGGCAGGAGTATAGCTTGAACCTGGGAGGTGGAGGTTTGTAGTGAGCTGAGATCGTGCACCTGTACTCCAGCCAGGGTGACAGAGCGAGACTGTCTCAAAAAAAAAAAAGAAAAAAGAAAAAGCAATCAACAAGAACAGCAGCCTCTGTCAGGAAAAATACCTGACCACACCTGCATGAAGCCACTCACCTAGAAATAACAGTTTTAACTCTGTTGCTTCTTGGAAATCAAGTCAAAGGGTTATACATCAAGTTTTCCATCTACAAAGACTCCAGACTAGAGAGAAGGTGTTAGGTAAACATTCTGGTGAGGGCCCTGACAGCTTGGGTGCAGAGAATGGAGACAATCCAAGTGCCAGATTCAGTCTCAGCCCTATACTGATCAACAACCAAGACTGAAGCCTGGAGGGTAATCACATTTCAGTAAACACTTGTGAGGAGTCCAGAATGGCAAGAAAGGTGGAATTCTACCATTCCTTTAAATGGAATTCCTAAATGGCAGCCTCCAATTGAGCGCTCCTGTTTAATGTGATGCTGGTTAACAACGATGAATACTTTTATTGAACACTTCCTACATGCCACACACTATCCTAAGCACCTTACCTATTTTTTAAGCCTTACCACAACTCCATCAGGGAAGTACTGCTGTTTTACAGATGATGAAACTGAGGCTTAATGTAGTAAAGTAACATGAGATCACACAGTCCAAAAGAGGTAGATTAGACTTAAGTTCAGACTTTTTTCTTTTTTGAGATAGGGTCTCACTACGGTTCCCAGGTTGGAGTGCAGTGGCTGTTTACAGGCATGATCATAACTCACTGCAGCCTCAAACCCCTGGACTCAAGTGATCCTCCTGTCTCAGACTCCCAACTTGCTGGGACAATAGGCATGTGCCATGGTGCCTTCCTTGAGTTCACACTTCGCTCCATACGCTCTGTGTCAGCTCCAAGTAAAAGTCCTATAGTTTCTTCAAACTTGACTCTTTGGTTCTGCCTGTTGCCCATCACCATTCTCCCTGACCCTGAAGCAAGAAATTTAGAATATTTCCCTCTTCTCTCAGGTAAACAATTGATAGATAGGTCTAGCAGCTTTCTGCTTAGTTATGCTATCCCAAATTATTCACTTCTCTTTGTGGCAAGTCCTGAGTTCCAGTCTCCTGGCAGTTCCAAGTCTGGATTAGATTTTTTTTGCCTTCACTTTGTTTATCTGCCCTCTCTCTACTCAGCCACCTAACTCACAATAAGGGAACTTCATATGCTCATAATTCTGCTGTGTCACAATGCAGGGCTGGCCACAGCCCTCTCTCATCACCTTAAGGGTTGCTGACCTCATCTGTCTTTTTTTCCCCTCAGTTCTTTAGTCTGAACCTTCCTTTCCAGTCGAAGGTTTTCCCTTGTGGGAGATTTTAGTTAAAAGGTTGGTTAAAGGGAGAGAGGCTCCTGAACTGGAACAGAGTGATTATTCTTAATATCTACAAGTTTATTTTAACAAAAGACTCTTGCAAATTCTACTCCAAGTGAATGAGACCTGTCCCAGGCACCATTTTAACCAGACCAAGATTCCACCACCAAAACAAAAAACATATTATTAAGGCAGCACAACCGCTCCTAATTCCTAGAGCAAAAGTTCTAACCAACAGGAGCAGGAGGGTATGAGAACAACAAAACTGGTAATCCTGTAAAACCAATAAAGATTGTATTTGTTTAGAGAGGTGTTTTATCAATGCAGAATCTGGGTCCCCAGTTTGGTCTTCTAAACAGAAACATGTATAAAAGACTTCAGTCATTTGATTCTGAGGATTTCTGATGGAAAAAGCAATTTACCTTTTTCCCAATTAACATGACCCGGCAACCATCTTGTATTCCAAGTGCTGACAACGGTGTTTCCATTTCCTTCAGAGATTTTCCTAAAAAGAGGAGAAAGGTAGGCCAAGTTGTAATAATTGTACAACACTGAAAATAAATTTCAGCAGGATACAGGAAATAGACAAGTGTGTTCACTAATGAGAACTGGTATCTTTTTAGAGGGTGTCATGACCCAGTAATTTCATTTCCAGATATTTATCCTAAACAAATAATTGGACATGCGACTCCACAGTAACTACTATACGATAATATTCAGTGCAACCTTTTCATAATAGTGAGAAACTGGAAAGAGCCAAATATTCAGGAATCAGGGACCAACGAACCACACTACAGAAGACTTTAAAGTCTTCAGTAGGCATTAAGGTCTACAGTAGCCATTAAAGCTCATTTTTTGCAGGAAACCCCAATACCACAATGAATGCTGATGACACAGTGTTATTATGAGGGGTTTTATCCAGGGGAACATTTTCTTTTTCATGCATTCCTCTATTTTGAAACATGAATTTCTATTGTCTTTATAATTCAGAAATAAAATATTTTTAAAAATTAAAGACAATATGTTACACTATGAAATATAAATAAAAATGCCTCCTATTACTAAATTCTTTATAATGACTGACACCCAATGGGGTAAGTCTTTCCCCAGTGGATACCAGAATGATAGATTCTCAGGGGGGTGGGAAGACAGAGGGCAGGGGCCAGGAGGGTGTGGGTCCTGGCAGAAATGAGCATCATGCATCCACTGAGCCCGCCACATCCAGGCCTCAGGTAAGTTTGCTCAAAACCTCCTTTGAGTCAGAACAATGGGAGGCACTGGAAACACAGCAGTATCTCCACCCTCACGGAGGCTGTTATTTTAACAGAGAAATCAGATGTTAAGCAACTAAGAAAATGATTATTTAATAGTAATTTCATAGAAGTGATGCAAAAATAGCAGGGAGTACCATGGTAACATATAATGGGAAGATGATCTAACCTAGCGAGGGAAGACTGCCCATGAGCTTCATCGAAAATGGTGAGATTTCTGCCATCATCATAAGACTTCAAATCTGACACCTGTCCAGGTGTTTGAGAGTGTCCAATACCTAGCAGGTCCTCAATAAATATCTGTTGAAGAACTGAATGAATAAACAAATAAATAAAAATTGTCCCAGTTTGAAAACAGAGTGACTATTAGGAAAAGTTCAGCAGTTTTAAAACTGTCCTTTGGCCATAAGGAAAAGCCGGAAAAGAAATGCTTACCCTTGGCCAGGTGCAGTGGCTCACACCTGTAATCCCAGCACTTTGGGAGGCCGAGGCGGGTGGATCACCTGAGATCAGGAGTTCGAGACCAGCCTGGCCAACATGGTGAAACCCTGTCTCTACTAAAAATACAAAAATTAGCCGGGCATGGTGGTATGCACCTGTAATCCCAGCTACTTGAGAGGCTGAGGCAGGAGAATCACTTGAATCCGGGAGGCGGAGGTTGCAGTGAGCCTAGATCGTGCCATTGCACTCCAGCCTGGGCGACAAGAGTGAAACTTCGTCTCAAAAAAAAAAAAAGAAAAAGAAAGAAAGAAAAAGAAATGCTTACCCTTAAATATGAGTTTCTGAAAAGACTGTGGAACCCCTATGACCTCTTCAACAACCTGGGCCAGGTCTTGGACAACTGGTTCACTGCTGCCCTGCTGGGAGGTAACATGAAGGTCGTGCTTCTCATTGCCTGGGGAGAAAGAAAAGCATTTGACGAATATGATTCTTTCACATACACCAATATAGGATGACACTTTATCACATTTATTTACCCAGCCTTCAAGGCCCAGCTCATATGCCACCTACTCCACAGAGCCTGCCCCCATGCCACCCAGCTTTCCTCTGGTGACCTCCTCAAGTATCTCTGTTTCCTCTATTATAATAACTAACAATATGAATGATATCTGCTAACATTTTAAGCATTTCATGCATAATCTAATTTAATCCTCAGATAAACCCCACGAAGTAGATCTACCTATTACTTCTTATTTCACAGATGAGCAAACTGTGACTTCAGGCAAGTTAAGGACTGCCTATGGAGACTCAACTGTTGGAATCAGAAGTTGATATCAGATCTAGCTGATTCCCAAGCCCACCTTTTTCATCACAAGCCATCTGCTTCCTGTGGCTTGACTGCCCTGTACCCTGTATTGTATTGGTCTCGTCTCGCTTGCTGTAATGGGCAAGTGACTGTTTTCCTCCAAGTCTCTCCCACTGAACACACTTGAGTGCATCCATGATTTGTGCTAAGTAAACAGACAAATGCATACGAACAGCAGAGCCTTTCTTTCTGAAGAAGAGACGCCAATTCTTTTCCAGGGATGCGGACAGCAAGGAGGGAGCCTGTGTACAGTACATTACACCAAGGTTTGGTTCCCCCAACAGCTCCGTGAGGTCAGCAGGAGCCAGGGTTACCAAATCTACTTCACAGAGGAGAAACCGGATTCTTAGAAGAAGCCGTCCATCCCAAGGTCACTCAAAACCGCAGGATCTAGAATCCAGGTCTCCAGATTCCCAGACCCTTGGGCCTCCCCTAGCTGGTTCTAGAGAAACCTCATGGACTCAGCTCTCCGGTGTACTGACTTCATTTGGTGGTGTGTCAACTCCAACAGTAGGCAGACCCAAAGGGTGCCCAGAGTACAACGCTTGGACCCACGGCCAACTCAAGCGGCGCACACGGAGAAGGCACTCAGCACACGAGGAGCACCCCGGCATGCACGAAGTTCTGACTTATCACACACGGAGCAGTCGTAGACCACATGGCCCAATATATGCCTGACACAAAGGGCACAATAACTGCGCGGGCACACAAACACAACCAGGCCCACGACGTAAAGCACGGAGAAGCTCAAACACCCAGGATCGCACAAATGACCAGAGACAAAATACACCGGCCACATGGAAAAGTGTACAGACACAAGCCCGGGACAAAAGACAGTTCCACGGACACAACCAATAACCCACGCTTCCGGACGCCAGGACAAGCGCAAGGTCACACGCTTCTGGAGGACACGTGACTAAACCCACAGACCCCGCCGGGCTTTCGGGACCTGCATGGAGCCCACCTGGCGCCCGACACTCACTGTGGGTGACAGTCACGGTGAGCCCAGCTGCCGCCATTTCCTCCCTGGTCACCTCCTCGCTCCGGGTCGACTCCTCGTCCCGGGTCACCTCCTGGCTCCGATTCATCTCTTCGCCCTGGGTCGCCTCCTCACTCTGGGTCGCCTCTTCACTCCAGGTCGCTTCCTCACTCAGGGTCAACTCCTCGCTCCGGGTCAACTCCTCGCTCCGGGTCGAGCGGCGCCGGGTTTTCTTCTTCATCCGCGGCCTGCGAGCGCCGGCGGCGGCGCCCCTGGTGGGTCGGTCATGCCCGCTGGCAGTACTCCGGGCAGGTGGACGCCCAGAGGGAGGCGGACCACGCTGGGCCGGGGGCTCCGACTGGCGCGGCTCCCGGCCTGGCCGAAGGGCGCGCAGCCGGGAACCCAGCCGCTCCCGGTCGCCTCGCGGTCTCCGCGCCCCCCCGCGCTGAGCCAGGCCCGCACTTGTTGACCGCCCAGCGATGGAAGCTGAGCGCGGCGTCTCACAACCCCGCCCGACTACTTCCCAGCCCCGCCCCGGCCTGCCGGCCCCGCCCTCGCCCTATGCCGCGTTAGTTGCCTCCAGGCCCCACCCACTCAACTGAGGCCCCGCCTTGCTACAGTAAAACCCCTCCCACTCCTTCTACCAACACCCCGCCCCCTGCAGGCTCTCTCCGAGAGCACCAAGTCCTTTTGCTCTCCATCCCCGGAAGACCCGGCTGAAAATCCGGAAAAAGAATCGGGAAACGCCAGGAGGCATATTGCGCTTGCGCACGGAGGGGCCGGAAGTCGAGGCGGGAGTGACTCTGCTTCCGTTTCTGGTTTTGCTCTAGTGTTTGGGTTTCTTCGCGGCTGCTCAAGATGAACCGACTCTTCGGGAAAGCGAAACCCAAGGCTCCGCCGCCCAGCCTGACTGACTGCATTGGCACGGTGGGCATTTGATCATGCATAAGTAGGCTCAGGACCTCTGACACACCCGACCCCGCCCACCCCCAGCCCCGGGCCCATATTCTTCCACTTCATTTCGGGTCCTGGGCCCCTTACACGTCGTCCCTCTCTATCTCACCTTCTCCCCTTCATCCCTGTTACCCAAGTCATTCCTAACGCCACAAACCAGGGAACCCCTAACCCCATCACTGCCTTGCCCTGCCAGCACCCAACCCGTTTTGATGCCCATTGCCCGTCCACTCGCTCTCGCCTTGATCCTCTCACCTCACCCAGCCCTAGGCCCATACACCCTTCCCACCTCATCCTGCCTGATCCCTTACCCTTCTTCCATCTGTCATCCCCAGTCCACATCAGGACTCAGCTTGATATCCTAGGTCAACATATCTGTGCCTTCGTCCTGGATCTCAGTAACACAAAACTCAGAACCCTAGCCCCTCAGATTAAGCCACCATCCCCGATTTAGGGAATGGCATTAGATCTACAATCAGCTGGTTTCACTTGGCACTGGCCCATTTCATGTGCCTCTTGGAGGAACTCTCAGCCTGGCTAGTCTCTGATTCTAGGGAAATTCCAACTCAACTCAGTGATTCTCAAATTATTTTCTGCCCCAACCCACTTGAAGGCTACCTGGTATATCAGAATCGGGGCAGTGTGGCGGGGGGTAAGAGAATAATTTATAAAGCCCAGGGTTTCTGGTTGGGAATACCCTTCTTTGTGAACCACTGTTTTTCACCCTTCCCCTTAAGCTCCTCTTTTCTTCCTCTGTATTCCTTCCTCTCTACCTGCCCCTTCTGGAATAAGTGTATTGCAGTAACTACCAGTGCATTTGATATTTTCCCCTAAGGTGGACAGTAGAGCAGAATCCATTGACAAGAAGATTTCTCGATTGGATGCTGAGCTAGTGAAGTATAAGGATCAGATCAAGAAGATGAGAGAGGGTCCTGCAAAGGTAAGGTGGGCAGCAACTGCTGCACAAGGTGCTGGCAGAGCCTAGTTTTAGCACCTATAGAAATAGGGCCTAGTTCGGCTGGGCGCAGTGGCTCATGCATGTAATCCCAGCACTTTGGGAGGCTGAGGCGGGTGGATCACGAGGTCAGGCATTTGAGACTAGCCTGGCCAACATAGCGAAACCCTGTCTCTACTGAAAATACAAAAACTTAGCTGGGCATGGTGGCAGGCGCCTGTAATCCCAGCTACTCAGGAGGCTGAGGCAGGAGAATCGCTTGAACCTGGGAGGCGGAGGTTGCAGTGAGCAGAGACCACACCATAGCACTCTAGCCCAAGTGACAGTGTGAGACTCCGTCTCAAAAAATAAGTGAAATAGGACCTAGTGCAGGGGCTGTGAGCATCCCTACAGAAGAGATGCTTACAGTCTGGTAAGGAGAAAACATGTGAGGGTGTATCCTTTAGGGAGGAGAGTTTGCAATCAAATATGGAAGGGAGGCTGGGGATTGATCTGGTGGAAAGAGATGCTGGTCACACGTCTAAAAGCATGTACATGAGAATTAGCATATTATACTGAGAAGGTGGTAATCTGGAGAGGAAGACTAGGCTGTGCTCAAGATCAATGACTTGCTAAGCTGGTCAGGTTAGGTTGGTATATTAGACTGCTTAAGGAGTGGCCTGCTGGGAAAAACTGAACTAGGCATCTGGGACCAGTGTTCTAATACACTGTCACTGCCTTCTAGTTGTGACCTTGATAAAGTCACTTATTTTCCACTCCTGTTAGGTAGAAACATAAAATACTGTGTTTAAGCACATGGACTGTGGATATAGAACTACCTTGTTTTTTCCAGATCCATAACTTATTAACCATGTGAGCCTGGGTATCACTGAACCTCTCTTTCCCCATCTGTAAAACAGAGATAATACCCACCTTACAGTATGAGGATTAAATGAGGTAATTGATGTGACCTGTGTACCACTATGTCTAGGATAAAGTAGTACTCAGTAAATATGAGTTATGATCATCTGTGAAGTAATAATACCTGTTTTTCCTTCCTCACTGGAGAAGACAAATAAAATGATCTACAGAATTCTATAGAAAAGGAAGGCTTTTCCCAGCCATCTTAGTGGATGGTGTGGAATGAAGAGCAACCAGAGGTAGGAAAGCCCATTTAGATTTGAGACAATGAAAGCCCAAACCATGGTGGTAGGAAACCAAAGAATCAGTTTGAAAGTGAGTTCTGAAATCAGCTAACAGGATGACTGTGCATGAAGAAACAACAGAAAGAGGAAAGATAAGGTTGATAAAAAGGTTTTCAACCTAGAGAGGTGAGAGATTGGTGGGCCATTGTTACTTATTTCAAAGGTGAGATAAGGTTCAGGAGTTTGGAATTGTTGAGGTTAAGTTGATGGGCTGTACAAGTGAAGAATCTCCCTAAGGCAACTGGATATACAGACTCAGCACTTTTGGGGCTAGAGGCAGAGATAATATGCATTAGGAAAAGAGAAAGTAGTTGAGGACTCTGGGATGTGGGATGCAAAGACAGATAGGAGCAAAGGCTTAAAGACTGGACCTTAGAGATACCTGTTTTTGGGAGGGGAAGTACAGAATCCAGGAGCCATTATGCCTACTACTTTGAAGAAGAGAGGAAGTAGGCATGTGAGTTTGAGGCTATGGGAAATTTCTTTTACCGTATATGTGTTTTCCACCTTATTTTTATTAAATCTGTTTTTCTCTCCAGAATATGGTCAAGCAGAAAGCCTTGCGAGTTTTAAAGCAAAAGAGGATGTAAGTTACACACACAATTTCTACCTCTAGCAGGTTTAACTAAAAGAGAAATGGTCTTCCATTCCTTCAGGTTTTCATACTATTTTCTAAGCACTCTTGATTTAATTACAAATTTTCATTGACGTGTAATTAAATACAGTTAGCTGGGTTGTTATCTGTTGTAACAACTTCCATCTAAATAGAACTTTTTGCCATGATGGAGATGCTCTATATCTGTGTGTTCAATACAGTAGCTATTAGCAACATGTGGCTATTGAGCACTTGAAATGTGGCTAGTGTGACTAAGGAAATGAAGTTTAAATTTTATTCAATTTAAATAATTTAAGTAGCCTTATATGGTTAGTGACTACTGTTTTGGACTGACCAGATCTGTAGGGTTTGGTTTTCCTATTATTTATTTTAGAGTGTACCTTTTTTGTTTTTGTTTGTGAAGTTAGGAATCCTAAATGTTTGTTCCCTCCCACCAGAATAAATTTAAAGATCCTTAATTTGTTTTAGGTGACTATGTCCCAATTTTGAGCAGAAGCTAACTAGTATCTTTGGTGCCTACCTCTGTAGACTGTTCAGCTGATGAGATCCTCTGCAGGGTTATAGAGGTCAGGTATAATTAGCTATCGAGGAGCCAGAAAGATTGTCAGTGTCTCTCTTCCTATATTAAAATGACTTTTTATAAGATACCAGATGCCATCTTCCTCCTTTTAGATTAGATCAAATTGGAAAAAGAAATTGTAATGCCTAGACTGGTGAGGGTGTGGTGAAATGATTTACCTTCTTAATTGGTGGCATTGCTAGTTTTAAGTAACCTTTTTTGTTATAAAAAGAATATAGGTTCATTGTAGAAACTTGGAAAATACATAAATATGAACAGAAGAAAATAAAATTTACCTAGATTCTTACTACTAGAAATAACCACCTTTAAAATGCTAATTTCTTCCAGTTTCTTTCCTCTGCTTCTGCATACGTGGTATGTGTGCATATAACTTTTTAGAAGAAATGAAATTGTAGTGTGTATATGTAGGTTTTCCTTTTCCACTTAATGTTATATCATGAGCATCTCCCTGTTCTTTTAAATATTCTTTGGAAACTTTACACTTTTTAATGAGATTATAATATTCTACCATTTGCTTGCACCATGAACGGACCATTCTTTTTCTAGTTGGATAGTTAGATTGTTTCCAATATTGTATAAAGAACATAGTGACATAAGTCTTTGAGGTAATATTATAATTTGATATAAAACTGTATTTTAAAAACATTTTGAACACCACACATTAGGTCAGATGGATTACCTAATTATGGGTGCAAAATTAATAAAACACCTGGGGCTGGGCACAGTGGCTCACACCTATAATCCCAGCACTTTGGGAGGCCAAGACAGAAGCTCACTTGAGGTCAGGAGTTGGAGATAAGCCTGGCCAACATGGTGAAACCCCATCTCCACTAAAAATACAAAAATTAGCTGGGCGTGTTTGCATGCGCTTGTAATCCCACCTACTTGGGAGGCTGAGGCAGGAGAATCGCTTGAACCCAGGAGGCAGAGGTTACAGTGAGCTGAGATGGCACCACTATACTCCAGCCTGGGCAACAGAGCAAGACTGGCTCTAAACAAATAAATAAGTAAATAAATAAACAAAATAAAATATGCCTGTCTTCAAGGAGTTCAAAATTCTGGAAAACCATTTAGCTATATGTATGAAGAGCCTTAAAAATAGTTTTACCCTTTGCTCTAAGAATTTCACTTCTGTATATTTATCATAGAAAATAATTATAAAGCCTTATTAAGATATGTAGCAGGCCGGGTGCGGTGGCTCATGCCTGTAATCCCAGCACTTTGGGAGGCCGAGGTGGGCGGATCATCTGAGGTTGGGAGTTCGAGACCAGCCTGACCAACATGGAAGAACCCGTCTCTACTAAAAATACAAAATTAACCAAGCGTGGTGGCGCATGCCTGTGATCCCAGCTACTCCGGAGGCTGAGGCAGGAGAATCTCTTGAACCCAGGAAGGTGGAGGCTGCAGTGAGCCGAGATCGTACCATTGCACTCCAGCCTGGGCAACAAAAGTGAAACTCTGTCTCAAAAAAAAAGATATGCAGCAACACAGAAAAAAGCAAATGCTATAATGTTAAGTGGAAAATAGTGTTATAACTAAAATACAGTCATGTGCTGCATAACAATGTTTTTGTCAATGAATGACAGAACAGACTGCATTATACCACTCTGGCCCCTATAAGGTTATAATACTGTATTTTTACTGTACCTTTTCTATAGGATGTTTAGATACACAAATACCATTGTGTTACAATTGGCTACAATATTCAGTACAGTAACATGCTGTACAGGTTTGTAGCCTAGGAGCAAGCAGTAGGCTATATCATATAGCTTAGGTGAATAGTGGGCTATACCACCTAGGTTTGTGTAAATACATTGTCTGATGTTTGCACAATGATGAAAGTGCCTAACAACATATTTCTCAGAACATATCCCCATTGTTAAGCGATGCATGACTGTACATGCAAAGGAAAAAGACTGGAGGGACACATCAAATGATATTTGTGTTAGAGTGATTAAATTGTTTTTGCCAATTTTTCTGCGTGATACCTAATTTTTAAGTTTTTTGTTCCGTTGTTTTTTTTTTAAATACTCTTATTTAGTGTGGGGATACTTTGTTCTTGAGGATTTCTATCTGGTTCATATATTTGCCATTCTCAATTGACTCTAAAAAGGTATGAGCAGCAGCGGGACAATCTTGCCCAACAGTCATTCAACATGGAACAAGCCAATTATACCATCCAGTCTTTGAAGGACACCAAGACCACGGTACTCCCAAAACACCTTTTCCTGTTATTTCATGTATTTATTCTTATTCTCTTTTCCGATGGCTTTTTAAAGACAGTTTAACCAGCCAGGCACAGTGGCTCACGCCTGTAATCCCAACACTTTGGGAGGCTGAGGTGGGTGGATCACCTGATGTCAGGAGTTTGAGACCAGCCTGACCAACATGGTGAAACCCTGCCTCTACTAAAAATACAAAAATTAGCTGGGTGTGGTGGCGTGCACCTGTAATCCCAGCTACCTGGGAGTCTGAGGCAGGAGAATCACTTGAACCCAGGAGGCGGAGGTTGCAGTGAGCCATTGCACTCCAGCCTGGGCAGCAAGAGTGCAACTCTGTCTCAAATAAATAAATAAATAAATAAAGACAATTTAACCAACATGACTTACTAAAACATTGTGTTTTCTTCTTCCTTTTCTTAGGTTGATGCTATGAAACTGGGAGTAAAGGAAATGAAGAAGGCATACAAGCAAGTGAAGATCGACCAGATTGAGGTGAGACATATGCTAGTTTCTGCAAGAATGTGCACTAGTTTCTGAGAGAATCCAAACGAGTGTGCATGTGATAGGAAGAGCACAGGAGAGGAACTGAATCTTGGGGCTGCCATTTACTAGTAGAGTAACTTCGAGAAAGGGTACCAAATGTCTCAGTTTCCTCAGTGCAAGGATCCTAATACCACATACAGTTACAGACAGTCCCCGATTTAAGACGGTTCAACTTAACGATTTTTCAGTTTGATGATGGTGCGAAAACTATATGCATTCAGTAGAAACCATACTTTGAGTATCCACGTAACCATTCTGTTTTTCAGTTTCCATACAATATTTAATAAATTACATGAGATACTCAACACTTTATTATGAAATAGGCTGTTAGATGATTTTGCCCAACTGTAGGCTAATGTAAGTGTTCTGAGCACAATTAAGGTAGGCTAGGCTAAGTGATGGTTCAGTAAGTTAGGTGTATTGAATGCACTTTCTACTTAAGATATTTTGAACTTAAGATGGGTTTATCAGGATGTAACCCTATCATAAGTCAAGGAACTTCTATATTATGAGGATGAAATAAATGAGCTAGTATCTCTACACACACAATGCCTGGCCTATGATAAGCATCCAGTAGTTACTTTTAACTAATTCGATGATATTTAGTCTGTTTCTTCGATGGTAGTGGTGTTGTTGCCTATTCCCAGGATTGTCATGAGTGTTAAATGAAGGTATGTAGGTAAAGTGTATGTAAAATGTTTAACCCAACTCCTGGCGTGGTAGACTTGGTTCCCTTTTCTAGTAATTCTCTTTAGATTTTTAATAATAATGTCATTAGTTCCTTAAAGTTAGCATTTCTTATTGGAATTGGGTTTTGACCAGGGAGATGAGCCCTAAGAGCTTGGCAGCTCTCAGCTGTCAGATGAACAGCCCAGGTGGCAAGAAGAGATAGCAGAGGGAGTGAGTGGTGACTGGTCAGAGGAGAGAGGCTTCCTTTCTGCATATAAAATGGCGCTCTTGACCTTTACCCCCCTGACTAGAATGTCCATTTCCTTGAATGCAGGGACTTGATTTTGTTCACTACTGTGTCCCCAGTGCCCATAACAATGCCCTGCCATGGTTGGTGCTCAGAAAGTATTTGCTGGTTGATGAATCAGAGGCTATAAAGGGAGATAAAGCAAAAAAAAAAAAAAAAAGAGAGAAAGCAGTACAGCCTGATTCAAGCAGTGTTTGTTAAAATACCAGGCATTTTATTGCCTCTGCAAAGATATTCTCTCATAAAGCTGATCTTTAGTAAGAGTGAAGGCAGGCTGGGCATGGTGGCTCACTCCTGTAATCCCAGCACTTTGGGAGGCCGAGGCGGGTGGATCATGAGGTCAGGAGATCAAGACCATCCTGGCTAACACGGTGAAACCCTGTCTCTACCAAAAATACAAAAAATTAGCCGAGCATGGTGGTGTGTGCCTGTAGTCCCAGCTGTTCGGGAGGCTGAGGCAGGAGAATGGCAACCCGAGAGCAGAGCTTGCAGTGAGCCAAGATTGCGCCACTGCACTCCAGCCTGGGCGACAGAGCAAGACTCCGTCTCAAAAAAAAATAAAAGAGTGAAGGCATTCCTCCCCTCTCTTATTTTTTCAAGCATCCCTCTTAGGTTGCCTTTGTCTGTCTCTAATCCTCCACAAATGTTTGCATACATGGAATTAAACTTTGTGATACTCTCTAAGAGCTTCACTGATGAAAGTGTTCTGTATATGCTTGTCTTTTTTTGTTGTTGTTGTTGAGACAGAGTCTCGTTCTGTCACCAAGGCTGGAGTGCAGTGTGATCTCGGCTCACTGCAACCTCCGCCTCCTGGGTTCAAGCAATTCTCCTGCCTCAGCCTTCCAGATAGCTGGGATTACAGGTGCCTGCCACCACACCCAGCTAATTTTTGTATTTTTTTAGTAGAGATGGGGTTTCGCCATGTTGGCCAGGCTAGTCTCAAACTCCTGACCTCAAGTGATCCGCCCACCTCGGCCTCCCAAAGTGCTGGGATTACAGGTATGAGCCACCACTCCCAGCCATTTTTTTTTTTGTATAATATCATTTGCCATTAAAATATAATGAAATGCAATGGTATTTTCTGCTTTTAGGGTTCCTTGTGTTTTAATTAAAGCTATTTAATAGGAACAAAAGAGAAACTTTGGTCTTGGTGAATGCTTTGTATGTCTCTTCGTCTTTCACCTGTGGTTGTCTGTCTGTCTCCCTGCCTAATTATCCTTTTCCTGTCCTCCAATAGATTGCCAGCATGACAGGTGGAGAGCCCCTTTAACTCTTTTGGTGTGTATGTGTCTTTGGTTAGATCGAATTTTTTGGTCAGATTTATTTTCCTAAAATGCTTTACTTAGAAAATATTTTCATTGTTTTATAGCTTTAACTTTTTATTTTGCTGTTGTGTGTGTGTAGGTCTGTTTTTCTTCTGCTTTTTCAGTTGCTGCATATCACTTTGTCAATGTTCTTTTTAGCTTAGTGCTTTTTTTTTTTATATTGCTTTTGTTTGTTTATACAATAGAGAACCAGTTAATGGTTTGTGGGATAAATTTTTTCTGTGTCTATCCTGGAGTCTTGCTAGGAATCCTATTCATAGATGATCCGGGAAGATGTGTCTTGATGTGTAATACTATTGTATAAGCTTGACTTGATTAGCTTTCTCTATGTTATTTTCATTGTCTTTAATTATTACTCAGCCAGTGCTTCTCTGTGTAGCAGAGTGTTAAATATGCATATAATTTGGCAGTTTGGTACTTGGAAATACAGAAAATCAAAGTTTAAAAAAAAAATTTCCCCTCCATTTTACTACCCTTTTCACCTTTCACCTTTATGGGGGCCAGGAAGGAATTTTCTTTTTTCTTTTTTTTTTGCTGTTGCCTAGGCTGGATTATAGTGACTCAGTCTCAGCTCACCGCAACCTCTGCCTCCCAGGCTCAAGCCATCCTTCTACTTCAGTCTCCTGAGTAGCTGAGACTACAAGCATGCACCATGCCCAGCTAATTTTTGTATTTTTTTGTGGAGATGAGGTTTTGCCATGTTCCCCAGGTTGGTCCCAAACTCCTGAGCTCAAGTGATCCGCCCTCTTTTGCCTCCCAGAGTGCTTGGATTACAGGCATAAGCTACTGCACCCAGCAGAATTTTCAAATGTCTTGCATTGCTTTAGAAATTCTGAAGGATAAATGGTGCTGATTTGGTCCTTTTGCTTTATCAACACTAGTTCTGTTCCTGTCTGTGTGGAATTTTAGTATATGAAGAGTGTATTGTTGTTCCGCACATAATTAACACAGTAAAATATATATAGTATTAGGTGCTTAGTGTTTTACATATATTATTGCAATAAATCCTTACAATAACCCCAGTGAGATATGGCTATTTTATTTATTTATTTATTTTTGAAACAGAGTCTCGCTCTGTCGCCCAGGCTAGAGTGCGGTGGCGCGATCTCGGCTCACTGCAACCTCTGCCTCCTGGGTTCAAACGATTTTCCTGCCTCAGCCTCCCGGGTAGCTGGGATTACAGGCGCATGCCACCATGCCTGGCTAATTTTTTGTATTTTAGTAGAGATGGGGTTTCACCATGTTGCCCAGACTGGTTGCGAACTCCTGAGTTCAGGCAATCCACCCACTTTGGCCTCCTGAAGTGCTAGGATTACAGGCATGAGCCACCGCGCCTGGCCAGATATGGCTATTAATAATTCCATTTTACAGATGAGGAAAATAAGGCTTAGAGACATTACTTCTCATTGAGTAATGGCAAAATTGAACTTGGGTATATCTGACTCCAGAGTCTCACTCCTAACCATTATACCAGCTGCCCTTTGTTATGCTATACCACTTCTTAGATTGGTTTCATATTACAGTTTACCCTTGAACAGCAAATGCAGTTTGAACTGCACGAGTCACTTATATGCAGATATTTTTCAACCAAACGAGGATCGAAAATATAGTGTTTGCAGGATGCGAAACCACCCATATGGAGGACCAACTGGGGACTTGGGTGTGGGCAGATTTTGGTATAGACAGACATCCTGGAACCAATCCCTTGCGTGTACCAAGGGACAACTGCATTTTTAGCCTTGTAGTAATCTCCCAGTTAAGCACAGGTAGATTATTCACACAGGGTTTATGCCCTTGGTCCATTTTTTTCACCAGCCTTGTCTTGGCTGTGACACCTATCCTGATTCCCTTTCTGATTCTCCATCCAGGGTGGGCCCATGTACAACTCACTTTTTGTACCACTTCAGTTGTTTCTACTCTTGCCTCCTTTCTCTACACAGTGTAATCTGTCTTTCGCTGACTTGAGAAGAATAATTTGCTTGTCTCAGTAACCTCCCTGTCTTCATTAACTAGAAAATGATTGACAGTTTAGATCAAGATAATTGCTTGATTTAATGTTTCAAGTAAAACTTTCTGTAATAGTAGACAGCTGACAATCATCTATTCTCACATAGGACTTTGGGCTTCCATGAGGCACTTTAAAATCAAATCCAGCCGGGCACAGTAGCTCATGCCTATAATCCCAGCACTTTGGGAGGCTGAGGTGGGCAGATCACCTGAGGTCAGGAGTTTGAGACCAGCCTAACCAACATGGCAAAACCCCACCTCTACTGAAAATACAAAAATTAGCTAGGCGTGGTGGTGCACACTTGTAATGTCAGCTATTTGGAGGCTGAGGCAGGAGAATCACTTGAACCCGGGAAGTGAAGGTTGCAGTGAGCTGAGATTGCACCATTGCACTCCAGCCTGGGTGACAAAGCGAGACTCCATCTCAATAAATAAATAAATAAAGTAAAAAATAAAATGAGAGATCATCAATTCTATTCTTTAAGTTCACATTTTGCCACCAAAAATAGGCAAGGGATTATGTGGGTCAGTAACATTCATAATTATTGTTAGAGGAGGTCTTTGGGCTTATGGTTTTTAATTCTTTAAGCATTCTCTCATACTTTTAATTAGAAGGGATGTTTTAAGAGTTACTTGAACCTGTCCTTTAGAGGAGTGTCTGCTCAGTTGTTAACATTAAAAAATTGCTAGCCAAAGACTGGGATAGGGGAGGTGAACTAACAGTTGTTGAGAACTGTTTATGTGCTTGGCATTTTATATACATTATCTTTTTAAAAATTGCTCATGTCTAGATTCAAAGGAGAATGTAGGGGAAAAGGGTAGTTAAAAGAAAATGGTAAATGAGAGAAAATCCTCTCATATATATTTCCGTAGGATTTACAAGACCAGCTAGAGGATATGATGGAAGATGCAAATGAAATCCAAGAAGCACTGAGTCGCAGTTATGGCACCCCAGAACTGGATGAAGATGATTTAGAAGCAGGTAAGTTATGAGAAAAGTAATGTATATTTAGTTTTGGAGTCCAAAAGCAACAGCTGCCTGGGACCTTTTCTCAAATGCTAGTGAAAATTTCTATCAGGATTTCCTGAAGGTTAGTTTATGGTACTGTCCCTGGGCAAAGAGCTTGTGAGGCAGCCACATCAGATTGCATACTCCACCAACAACAGTGGGATGGATCAACTCTGAAGGAAGTCCAGGTACAGGCTGACCTGGTGCTTGGTATCTGTAAGTGTCCTCCACGTGGCCTTTCCTTGCTGTATTCCTTTTGATTTTGTTCTCACTATTTTCCTAGTTGGAGTCCTCTCCCTCAGAACAGCAAAACCAATTAAGAAACAATAATTAGGGCCAGGTGCCCTAATCCCAGCACTTTGGAAGGCCAAGGTAGGCGGATCCACTCAAGCCCAGGAGTTCGAGACCTGGCTGAGCAATATGGCGTCACCCCGTCTCTATAAAAAATACAAAAATTACCCAGGCATGGTGGTGTGCGCCTGCGGTCCTAGCTACTCGGGAGGCTGAGGTGGAAGGATCACTTGATCCCAGGAGGTAGAGGTTCCAGTGAGCCGAGATTGCCCCACTGCAGCCTGGGCAACAGAGTGAGACCTTCTCTCAAAAAAAAAAAAAAAAAAAAAAAAGAATAGTTGGCAAATACTTAGTGTGCATCTACTCTATGCCAGGTACTCTACTAGGTGGTGGGAATTTAGCACTGAATAAAAATGCAGCCCCTACATTCATGAACCTTCTCTAGCAGTGGAAGACATAAATGGTTTGCTTCAAGTAATTAATTACTAGAGCACAGACTATAGGGAAGAAGTATGGGGTAGCATGGGAGCACATACTAAGGGACTCTAACCTAGTTAGTAGTGGGAGAGAGGCATGGGACCTGAAGGGTGAGTAGGGGATAGCATGAAAAAATGAGAAGGGTTGTCGAATGGCCTCAGGGAGAGCAGTCTGGAAGTTATTGCGATAGCCATTTAAGAGATGATGGTGGCCGAGACTAGCTAGGGTGATGGTAGCAGAAACAGACAGAAGTGGACAGATTGAAGACATCTTAGAAAATTGAGTGGACAAGACTTAATGATTGACAGGATGTGGAAGAAGTGGGAGGTGTCAAGGGTGGCTGTCAGTTTCTAGCATGAGTAACTGGGTAGATGACAGAACCATTCCACACTGGATTTCTATTGTGTGATTCCCCTGTTACATTACTACTGCTGCTTTCCCGCTCTCTCCATGGTCTATTTTTGCCTAGAACCTTTCATTTTTTTTCCACTTATTTCTTTATTTTTTAATTTCCCATCTTCAATTGCCCCTGATAAGTCTCTACCTGCTATTGTCATTCCTCTTGGCCACTTCCAACTCATTTTACCACAGACTTATTTTTGGAGTCTGATTTCACGTAATGGTCACACAGCATACAACAATCTCATGCCCTCTTCACTGCCTTCTTTCAAGTCCATCGATAAATGAGAGAAATTATTAGCTGCCAGTTTTCTTGGTTACATTTTTTTTAAATGTTGACTGTTTCAATCTCAGAGTTGGATGCACTAGGTGATGAGCTTCTGGCTGATGAAGACAGTTCTTATTTGGATGAGGCAGCATCTGCACCTGCAATTCCAGAAGGTGTTCCCACTGATACAAAAAACAAGGTGAAAGCTTTTTCTGTTTATATTTCAATGCAAAATAGCAAAGGCTTTATGCTTGACCATAAGTCTGGGAATCTAAAAGGTAGTCTTAACATTAGAACAAAGAAAGACAGTCCTGGTCATTATTTTGTGAACCCTTGAAGGTCCGGTTTTTCTGCATTGGATGATGAACTGACTGCATAAACACTGTCACTGAGGCTCAGGAATATTTTTATAGAATGACAATTTGTGTAACATACATGATCACCCTTGTTGTGAGCTGGCACTGGGTACCATTGATGGGTCTTAGACATTTCCTGTAAAAGCGTAAGCAACACATGCATGAGACTTGCTAGGCAGCAGTGAAAAAGTCTCACTCTTCATACACACCAGTTAATTACTGGCTGGATTTTTAATTTTATTTTCCTTTCTTTTTCTTTTTTTTTTTTCCTGTACACACAGGAGTTTAGAATGGGTGGATTTTCTAAACTATGGATTAATAATTTAAGCATAAAACTTAATGTAGAAAGATTCTAATTTAAGGCAAAAGAATCAGAACACCTGACACTAAGTATGACTAATTACTTAGCTATTGTAAGCTTTTCTTTTCCTTGCATCTGTAAAATGCAGATAATTACAAGTATCTCACGTAATTGTTGTGCAAGCAAATTAGATCTTGTATGTAAAGGACTGTGCAAACTTAAAGCTCTGTCCAAATCTACATGATTGTCTTTTTTTTTGAGACAGAGACTCATTCTGTCACTCAGGCTGGAGTGCAGTGGCGTGATCTCAGCTCACTGCAACCTCCGCCCCCCTGGTTCAAGCAATCCTCGTGCCTCAGCCACCCCAGGTAGCTGCGATTACAGGTGCGCGCCAACATGCCTGGCTAATTTTTGTATTTTTAGTAGAGACGGGGTTTCACCATGTTGGCCAGACTGGTCTCAAACTCCTGGTCTCAGGTGATCTGCCTGCCTCAGCCTTCCAAAGTGCTGGGATTACAGGCATGAGCCACTAATAATGACAACCAGGCTGGGCAAGGTGTGACTTTGAGCAAAATAGCAGAAATTTATGTCTTCTTTTTGAACCTCATCAGTTTTTCCTACCTGTAAAATGTGAGAGCAAAGGGCAGGGAGCAGGTAATTTCTTAGGTCCATTATTACTGGTTTCTGTGAGTATGCATCTTCCTCTATTGTATCCTTCCCTTCTCTGTTGAGCCTGGGATAGTCTTGCCTTTCTGAACTGCCCACTCCTCCCCGACCTCTCTGGCAACTTCAAGGTCCCAGGTCCATGGGTTGCTTTTTCTCAGCAACCCATGAAATAATTTTTATTAATACTACCATAGTCCACCTTGTTAATTTTCTAGTAACAAGTCCCTGTAGCGGCCAGGCGCGGTGGCTCAAGCCTGTAATCCCAACACTTTGGGAGGCTGGGGCAGGCGGATCACGAGGTCAAGAGATCGAGACCATCCTGGCCAACATGGTGAAACCCCGTCTCTACTAAAAATATAAAAAATTAGCTGGGCGTGGTGGCAGGCTCCTGTAATCCCAGCTACTTGGGAGGCTGAGGCAGGAGAATCACTTGAAGCCGGGAGGCGGAGCTTGCAGTGAGCCGAGGTCGTGCCATTGTACCACTCCAGCCTGGGCAAAAAGAGCAAAACTCAATCTCAAAAAAAAAAAAAAAAAAAAAGTCCCTGAAGCATCTATGTTATTTCCACTTTGAGAAGGTCACAGATTCCTGAGTTATATATGCTGTGGATATATGGGGGTTTTGTTGTTGTTGTTGTTTTATCTTTTTGAGATGGAGTCCCGCTGTGTCACCCAGGCTGGAGTGCAGTGGCACAATCTCAGCTCACTGCAACCTCCACCCCCGGATTCAAGCAATCCACCCACCTCAGCCTCCCAAGTAGCTGAGATTACAGGCATGCTTCACCACACCTGGCTAATTTTTTTGTTTTTAATAGAGATGGGATTTCACTATGTTGGTCAGGCTGGCCTCGAACTCCTGACCTCAAATGATCCACCTGCTTCAGCCTCCCAAAGTGCTGGGATTACAGGCCTGAGCCACCGCGCCCGGCCTGTTGTTGTTTTTAAAGTAAAGGAATAAAAGAATGGCTACTCCATAGGCAGAGCAGCCCTGGTGTTTTCATTGATAGTGATGTCGCTGCCTATGATTATAGTAAAGCATGATATGGAAGTGACTGCCTATCCACGGGCACTGCTCCTTCAAGGATTTGGGAGGCTAAGAAAGGTATTGGTCCAGAGTGAAAATGCAAATCTGGAGGCAAGGACCCACTCCTCAACCTTTCCTTTTTGACTCTCCCAGCCTCCTTTTCCCCTTTCCAGGTTTACTCTTAGATTTCTCTTTCTCCCTCTTTCACTCTCTTTCCCCTGTGGAGGAGCCCCCTTTTGGCCCTTTCTAGTTCTCTTCTTGATTCATCACTTCCTCCTTTACCTTTCATGAAAAAGCTTGTTCTCATCTTATGACTGCGATTTTGGTTTTGATTGATTAAATACTTGGAAATGAGTTTTAACTATTAAATGTTTGTAATCCTTTTTTTTTTTATCAAATAGAAAAATAGTGGCACTAAACATTGCTTCCTTTTTACAGGATGGAGTTCTGGTGGATGAATTTGGATTGCCACAGATCCCTGCTTCATAGATTTGCATCATTCAAGCATATCTTGTAAAACAAACACATATTATGGGACTAGGAAATATTTATCTTTCCAAATTTGCCATAACAGATTTAGGTTTCTTTCCTTTCTTTGAAGGAAAGTTTAATTACATTGCTCTTTTATTTTTTCCATTAAGAGACTCATTGCTTGGGAAATGCTTTCTTCGTACTAAAATTTGATTCCTTTTTTTCTTATGAAAAACGAACTCAGTTTAAAAGTATTTTTAGCTCGTATGACTTGTTTTCATTCATTAATAATAATTTGAAATAAAACTAAGGAAATGGAATCTTAAAAGTCTATGACAGTGTAACTCTACAGTCTCAAAATGACCTGATAAATTGATAAGACAAAGATGAGATTATTGGGGCTGTTCATATTATGATTCAGAATCATTTTCTATTGTGGTATTATAGGTTGGTTAAAGTGATGGCCTTTTTGATGGGTTTTGTTGTGTCTTGTGAACAAGTCGTTACTGTGTCCATTATTGGAATGGAATTATCACTACTGTATCATGAGTGGGTATTTTGATTCTATGGTTCCCTCAGTATTACATCTTGACTTGTAATCAATTATGAATATTTCTTGATATTTAATGTATAGGACATTTATTTATACTCAATAAATATTTTTCAAAAGGATATAATTTTAATAATATCACTTCAGCTTAAAACCTCTACTGCGGAAACCAAATTTAATAGAATTTTAATGTCATTTCAGCCTATAACTCCACTACAGAAACCAAATTAACCAGTAGCATTGTGAGGAAAGAGCAAGGAACAATCTGGGCTTGGGCCCTGGGTCTACCATTTACTAACTACTGAGTAGTCTATTCAACCTCTCTAACCTTCTGTTTCCTTATTAGTAAAATCATGCTTAACTCACAGAGCTTTTGTGAGGAATAATTGAGGTAATGGTCATAAGTACCTTGTTAACTGCAAGGGGCTATTCTTATATGAGGGATTGTTAACAATAAAAAAGAAACTGCTTCATTCTTTTCTTGGAAGGTGCCTGGAGTACTACAGCAAGTTCAAACTCCTGCCCAATTTCAGGGTCTTTAATGATCCTGTCCTCCCTTCCTCATTCAACTTGTTGCCAACAGCATGGCCCCTCCAGCCTAGCTGGGTGCCTCACAGTGCTATGTGCACCTGACTCTCATGTGTCTGCAGATCAAACCAATAAACATTTAGGAACACCAGCTTTGTAGAAGTCTCTGTACCAGCCCAGGGGTTACCAAGTTCCTCTCTTCAGGAGTTCTTGTCTAGTTACAAGTGGAGATGAGATAACGTATGTAACCCTCTCCTATCTCCAACCTCACCTTCTCAAGAAGCCTTCCAGAGGGAGCAAACATTATAGTATTCATCATTACCTTCTTGAAACCTTTCTTGGCTTTTCTGTGAGTTCTGTGTTTTCTTCTAATCTGGCCCACTTACTCTCTTATATGGATACCTCTTTCTTAGCCCCTTGAATATTTCTTCCATTAGAGTTCCAATCTGTATTCTACTTGAGAAATCTCACACCCATGATATCAACTATTACCTACACACTAATGACTCAAAATGACTGTCACTAGCCTAGACTTCTTATCCTTATTTTCAATTCTGGGCATTTCCACTTAAATGCCCCATCGTTACCTAGAATCTAACATATCCAAATTAAGCTCATTATCTTGGGGTTCACTGTCAGCAAACATTTCTCGTTGATTTCTCGTCTTGCTTAGTGTTACCAGTGATTCATATATTGCCCATTTTAGTGGGTGATATTTAGCCCTTTAGCTAGACCACATTAGTGCATTGGATATGAGTGAGCAATCATTCTACCTAAATCTCTACTCTCTTGGGTTTTGTGATAGTACTCTCCGGTTCTCCTGTTCCTCTAACTATTCCCTCTAAGGCTTCTTTCTGAAATCCTCAACTCTCTAACTGTAATGTTACTGCTCCTCTGGATTCTAGCTTTTACCCCCCAGACTTCTTTCTCTGTTTACTTACATTTAGTGATCTCAGCTATTCTCATGGCTTTAACTGCTAACTTCCAAATCTATACTTCTATCCCTGAACTTGCCCCTGAGTTTCAGAATCTTATTTATATCCAGCTGTTTGCCTAACAAATATTTGGATGTTCCAGAAGCCCACAAGCACCTCACATTCAAATAGCTGAAACAGCCTATCACCTTTCCTCAGACCTGAATCTCCTGCTTCTGTTTTCCCTGTCTCATGATGGGAGATGTGAGACAGGGAAACCATTGTCTCATGATGGGAGGCTGTGAGGCTAATGGAATTATTATTCTCCTATCATTTAAAACAGAAAGCGCTTGAGTTGTCCTTGATGCCTACATTTTGCCTACACAGTCAATTATCCTTAAACCCTAATCCCTGTTTCTCAAATCTAACTCCTCCTCTCCTTCTCTCAACTCTCGCTGGCCTAGATGTCTCTCACATAGTCTTTTGGAATGTCTTCTCTTCTCGCATAGTTTCACTTCCTTGAGTACACTGATCACATATAGCTACTCTTACCTTTCTAAAATATAAATCTGACTTGAATTCTTTAATGTCCTCTAATACTTCCACCGGGGCATAAAAAGCTGCCAATGACCTGGCCTCTGCCTATCTGTAATGGTTTATTGCCTAGTCTTTTCAGAAAGCATTTCCTTTCTTTCAAGGGAACTGCTCCCCCATTTCAACTGTGCGATTATTAGGAACATGCCAATTTTAGAGTAGTACTGTCCTTACCCTTCCAAGCTATGGAAGTGTGTATGTGGTCACGCTGTGTCTATCAGAGTCCATAACTCACATTTTCTAAATAGAAAGTAGGGGAAGTGCTACTCTTTGTCAGTATGAGAGATTGAAGCCAGAGGGGAGCCAAGATGAGAGACAGACTGAAAGATGTCCATGGCACTCAGCTCTGAATTCTGATCCTTGACATTCCAAGTCTCTACAACTCTTCGTTCTGTGAGGTATTTGAGGATTCTGCAAATAAACTTAACCCCCTTTTCTGCTTAAAGTAGTTGGCATTGGGTTCCTGTCACTTGCCAGTAAGAGACAGAATAATTGCTCTGCAGCTTGTGTCATGTCACACTTTTCAATTTTGTGATCTAGTAATTGTTCTGCATCTGGTCCCCCCACATCCACCATATAGCCATGATTCCTTGCCTCTGTTCATGGTTTCTCCTACCTGAAGCTTCCTTATGTCTTTGTCATTCTGCTAATTCTTCCTGTATTGGGGAAAGGCCAAAGGGCATGCCCTGGTCTGCATCAATACCAGTGAATTAAAGGAAAGTGGAAGGAGTGAGTCCTGTATTAGAAAGCCCTAGGTACCATAAAGCCTGTGATCATCACTCCTATAGCTACCACCAGACAACCTCACTGGTCAATATTTCACCTGTTAACTACTAGGAAAGAGCAGAATTGAGTGCAGGGGGTCCTAGGTTTTAATCTGTCAGTTCTGAGAGTTTAGCAGGAATGGGGAAGGAGATTGATATGATTCTGTATAGAAAAAGTTTGGCACTTCTATCATCCATATCCCTTAGCTTTCCTTTTGTGTTTTCTTATAGTTATGTCACCAAGAGAGTTATTAAAAATATTGATGTCTGGGTCCTACCCCCATAGATTCTGATATAATAGATCTGGATACAGTGTGGGCATTTGGATTTTTAAAAGCTCCCCCAAGTACTTAAGTGTATCCAGAGTTAACTGCTGCTCTGTGGTGCCTGATCAGTCTGAACCTATTTTCATGGTTAAGCATTCTGGACTGTTACCATCAATTTCTGCAGTGAAGGAGTAGGCAATGATTGCCCTAAGGTAAAGTTGTTCGTCCACGGAATAAATTGGGAAGTACTCCCTCCTCCTGTATTTTTTGGAAGAGTTTGTGAAGGATTAGTGTTCATTCTTCCTTGAACATTTGGTAGAATCATGTGGGTTTGGGTGTTTCTTTATGGGAAGTTTTTAAAATTACTGATTCAGTCTCTACTTGTTATAGGTGTATTCAGATGTTCTATTTATTCTTGAGTACTCTGTGTCTTCCTAGGAATTTTTCCACTTCATCTAAGTAATCTAATTTGGTTGGCATGCAGTTGTTCATAGTAGTCCCTTTTGATCCTTTTTATTTCTGTAATGTGGGTAGTAATGCCTATGTTTTCATCCATCATTTTAGTAATTTCAGTTTTTCTCCTTTTTTCTTGATTATTCTCTCTAAACATTTTTATCACTTTGGTTCAATGAACTGTTGATTTTTTTCCGTTCTTTTTCTATTTCAATAATTTCTGGTCTTTTATTATTTCTTTTCCTTCTACATGCTTTGGTTTAGTTTGTTTGCTCTTCTTTTTCTTTTTTCCTTTTTTTTTTTTTTTTTTTTTTTGAGACAGGGCCTCACTCTACTGCCCAGGCTGGAGTGCAGTGGTACAATCATAGCTCACTGCAATCTCAGCCTCCCAGATTCAAGCAGTCCTCCCCAGCCTCCCTAGTAGCTGGAACTACAGACATGTGCTATCAAGCCCAGCTAATTTTTTTTTCAATTTTTAGTAGGGATGGGGTATCACTATGTTGCCCAGGCTAGTCTGAAACTCCTAGCCTCAAGCGATCCTCTCGCCTTGGCCTCCCAAAGTGCTGGGATTACAGGTGTGAACCACCCCCACCCCAGCCCTGTTATTCTTTTTCCAATTTCTTAAGGTGGAAGTTTAGGCTATTGATTTGCAATTTTTCTTCTTTTTTATTAATAAACTTTATTTTTTTAGAGTTTTGGGTTCACAACAAATTGAGTGGAAAACACAGAGAGCTCCCATATAACACACAACCTTCCCGCTATCAGCTTCCCTCACCACGGTGGTATGTTGCAATCAGTGAATCTACACTGACACATTATTATCACACGAAGTCTATAGTTTACATTAGGGTTCACTCTTGATGTACATTCTATGGGGTTTTTTGTTGTTTTTTGCTTGAGATGGGGTCTCACTGTGTTACCCAGGCTGGAGTGCAGTGGCATGATCTCAGCTCACCACAACCTCCGCCTCCCGGGCTCAAGTGATCCCACCTCAGCTTCCTGAGTAGCTGGGACCTCAGGCGCATGCTACCATGCCCAACTAATTTTTGTATTTTTAGTAGAGATGGGGTTTCACCACGTTACCCAGGCTGGTCTTGAACTCCTGGGCTCAGGCGATCCATCCGCCTTGGCCTCCCAAAGTGCTGGGATTACAGGCATGAGCCGCCATGCTAGTGATTCTATGGGTTTTAACAAATATAATGACATGTATCCCCCTTTGTAGTATCATGCAGAATAGTTCACTGCCCTAGCAATAGTTCACTACCCTAGCAGTCCTCTGTACTCTGCCTATTCATCCTTCTCTCCCCTTTAACTCCTGTCAACCACTGATCTTTTTACTGTCTCTATAATTTTGCCTTTTCCAGACTGTTACATAGTTGGAATCAAATAGTAAATGGTCTTTCCAGATTGCCTTCTTTCACTTAGCAATATGCATTTAAGTTTTCTCCATGTCTTTTCATGGCTTGATAGTTCATATGGATTTGGGATTTTTTGTCTTGTTTGGTGTTTTTGAGACAGGATCTCGCTCTGTCACCCAGGCTGGAGTGCTGTGGTGCAATCTTGGCTCACTGCAGCCTCCGCCTCCTGGGCTCAAGTGATCCTCCCACTTCAGCCTCCTGTGTAACTGGGACTACAGGTATGCACCACCAAGCTTGACTAATTTTTGTATTTTTGGTAGAGACTGGGTTTCGCCATGTTGCCCAGGCTGGTCTCGAACTCCTGGACTCAAGCGATCCACCTGCTTTGGCCTCCCAAAGTGCTGAGATTACAGGCATGAGCCACCATGCCTGGTCTTTGGGTATTTTTTGTTTGTTTGTTTTTTGATAGTATCTCGCTATGTTGCCCAGGTTGGGCTTGAAATCACCTGGGCTCAGACAATCCTCTTGCCTCAGCCTCCCAAGTATCTGAGACTACAGGTAAACACCAACATGCTGGCTTCATTTGTTTTGGGCACTGAATAATATTCCATTATCTGGAGTTCTTTTTCAAATATAAGTGTTTACAGCTATATATTTCCATCTTTCACCACCTGCAGCTTTCACCACCTGCCATAAGCTTTAGTATGTTGCATGAAATAGTTTGTATAGGAAAGGCAAGATAAATGCTTGCTTACTTTCATTTATTCACAAGTTTTGAAAATAATGAGTAGATTCTGTAGAGTGCCAATTATGAATTTGCTTTCAGTTCTACATTTATTGTTTTTGCTTGCTCTGTGAAATGGATTTCGGCCTTTTATTTATTCTTTGCCAGCTGGCAGATATTAAACCTTGTCAGCAGAGGGCACTGGAGAGATACTGCAGGAGGAAAAGGGTTTTGGCTCCTGTTTCTGATTTCAGTGGGGCAGGCTTCTGTAGTCTGGGCAACTTCTTCAATGGCTTCTGCAATGCACTGGCTTCTTCAGTGCCTGGCTATCGCACTATATAGTGACCAGTTGTCAGAAACTTCTCCTAGCACTCCCCGCAGATGGTTTGTAGTAGAGTACCTCTGGTGAGACACCTCCCCAAGAATGGCTTCAACCAGCACTCCGTAAGAAAAATGTCTGGCAACTTCCATGCCATCCAGTGAGCCACAGGTCTTTTCTCTAACGAGGTCTGCAGGCCAGCTCTGGTCTCGGCTCTTCTTTGACACTCTTACCTCAGCCCTAGCTGCTCTTTATATATGGTAATCCTGTTTTGGAATTATCTTGCTTCTTTACTAGCCAATCCATTATTATTCCAACCCCCTATTATACTTAATAAATCTTTAAATAAAACTTTCCTTATTAAAAAAATGTAATTCCTGTTCAAAAAGTGGGGTTCTTCTCTCCTGATTGGACCCAGACTGATACACCTGGTAATTTTTAAAGGTGACTATAAAGTTTGATGAGCTGTCAAAATTAAGGATTTATGTTCAACAAAGGACAAAATTAATATTTAATGGAATAGAAGACAATTTAAATGTCTAAAACTGACGAGTGACACCTGTAATATACAAGAAACCATCAGGAAGAAAAATGGGCAGTGGATATGGATAAGCAGTTTTAAAAGGAGGAAACTCAAAAGACCATCATTAAATGTTTGGCCCGGCACGGTGGCTCACGCCTGTAATCCCAACACTTTGGGAGGCCTAGGTGGGTGGATCACCTGAGGTCAGGAGTTCAAGACCAGCTGGCCAACAGGATGAAACCCCGTCTCTACTAAAAATACAAAAATTAGCCGGGCGTGGTGGTGGGTGCCTGTAATCCCAGCTACTTGGGAGGCTGAGGCGCAAGAATCGCTTGAACCCGGGAGGCAGTTTGCAGTGAGCCGAGATGGTGCCACTTCACTCCAGCCTAGGCGACAGAGTGATAAGATTCCTTTTATTTTTCAAACCAATGGGGCTGTGTCTGTTGTCCCCCTCGGTCCCCAGGGGTGGGGGGGCCTTGGAAGGCAGGGTGGTGTTGGGGGGCTGGGGGGCAGGCTGAGTGTGTGTGTGTGTGTGTGTGTGGGTGTGGGTGTGTGTGGAGTGTGGGTGTAGGACTCCAGTCCCAGCTGCTGCCTAGGCTCCTGTGGGTCCGACCGGGTTCCCCCTCCCCTGTCCACCTTCCCCAACAGGGCTATAGTTTCAGGGTGTCCCAGGCCTTGGCTGGTTGGCTGGGCCCAGCTCCTGGGGGCTGGGCAGGGCAGGGCAGGGCAGGGCCGGGTCCACTTCCATTGTTAGCAGTTGTTTGCAGAATTTTCTCTGTTACCATTCCTCTCTTTTTGTTCTCGCCCAGAGTGGGTGGTTTTTTGTTGTTGTTTTAGATTTTCATGTGAAGGCAGAGAGTTTTTTTTCTTTTTTAACTCCCCATCCCCCTATGCGGGGTGTCATTTCACCATCCACATCCTTGTTTGCGTTTCTGGCCCTCGTCCTCCCTGCCTCTCCTCTGCCTCCCCAACCCCCGCCTACCTACTGCTCCCAGGGGTCTCTCCAGGGGCAGGGGGATTTCAGGAGATGGGGTGGGGGCCAGCCCCTACTGGACCCTTGTAATCTGATTTGAAGACCATCCCCCTGATGGGACCAGCAGCCCCGCTGGCCCACTGGGGGTCCCTCTTAACATCTGCTTGTTGTGGGGGTCAGTGCCACGGTCTGCTGGGGTCTTGGCACTGTCTTCCTGGCCGGGGCCTGGCACCTTAGCCCCCAGCCGGCCCGAGTGGGGGATATCGACACCCCCAGCTAAAGCACAAGCACCTTAGTCATCCCTCCTCTCCCCCTGCCTCCTGGCCTGCCACCCCACCCCAGCGTTTACCCCAAAGCACAATGCCCTGGTCACTTGGCAAGTGGCTGGGCCTGACGGAGGCCAAGGGGCAGACCGGGGCTCCAGCCAGACCCCCGAAAGGAAGCAGGTGCTCCCCCACTTCCAGGACTTAGTTGGGGCGGGGGGCCCAGCTCCTGGGCCTAGGGTCTTCTCACCCCCACCCCCTTGTCCTGGGTAGGCCCCTGCCTGCCCCTCTCTGCCTTTTCCTCGGGTGTCCCTCCTCGAGCCCCTGCGGCACTGGCTTGGGTGGCAGAGCCCACTTGTTTCAGGGACCCCAGGAGGTGGTGCCCCCTGGCTCCTGGGACTGTGTGTGGGTCTGGGGGGTGGGGGGGTGGGGAGAAGCGTCGGGCAGGGGGTGCAGGGGAGGAAACTCCTCACCAGGAAAGCCAAAGACAGGGTTGTGCCTTACCTCAGGAGCCACCCGTTCCCCCTTGCCCTGCCGTTCACCCTCCACCTTTCCCCCCGGGCGGCCTGCTGCTTTTTCCTTCTCTTCCTCCCCTGCCCTGCCCTGAGCTGCATGGTTCCCCTACCCTGGGAAGCCAGGAAGGAATCTGAATGGAGAATCACCAACCACCAAAGAAAAAAAGACTGCGGGGCCCTCCCCTGCCAACTCCCCTTCCCTGGCCGCCCACTCACCCACACCTCTTTCACGCAGGACAGGCTGCCCACCCTGTCCACGTGAAGTGCCAACGCCCTCCCCACCCTGGGCCGAGCCCCCACCCCTCCCTGGGCCCCCAAGTGAGATTGCACATTTAACTACTGTAAGGAGAGGAGCGGCGTTGGCAAATGTGAACCATGAGAATATCGGTGATACTGATGAGAATAAACGCCTTTGTAAAAAAAAAAAAAAAAAAAAAAGTCTGGAGCCAGGCGTGGTGGCTCGCCTGTAAGCCAAGCACTTTAGGAGGCCAAAGCGGCAGGATCGCTTGAGGCCAGGAGTTGGAGAGACTAGCCTGGGCAACATGGCGAAACCCGTCTCTACTAAAAATAGCTGCGCATGGTGGCTCCGCCTGTAGTTCCAGCTACCGGAAGGCTGAGGCGGGAGGATTAGAGACTGAAGCTATAGTGAGCCATGATCAGACCACTGCACTCAAGCCTGGGTAAGGCAGCAAGACCCTATATCAAAAAATAAAAAAAGGAAAACCACAATGATTACGCAAGTCGCCGCCCTCCCTCCTGCGATTGTTGCTATTTCCATCCAGCTACTAGTCTCCTCCTCCCGCCCGACACCTGGCGCGTCTATCTGACGTCACGAACGCGCCACACAGATTCGGGCTGCGCAACCTCTGTGGCCGTCTACACGGCGCGCAGATGCGAATATTCTCGCGGCGCCGGAAGTCCGGGGCACGTGACCTGGTGACAGTGCTGACTTGGCTGTACAGCTCGATCTAGGTTCTGCGGCACGGGATGGCGGAGGCGCCTCCTGTCTCAGGTATTGTCCCGGCCCGAGCGGGACTGGGCCCCTTTCAGGGAGCGGAAATTGGGTCAGTGACGAAGTTCTAGGGCCTCAGCCACTCATATCGCGAGAGTAGCACATGCTAGGGCGTAGGATAGTGGCTCGGAAGGGCCAAGCCCCGCGCATCGTGCGTACGAAGATCTGTGTCTTCTTGGACTAGATGGTGAAGCCCAGTAGCTGGGTTTCGGAGGAGAGAGGACTTGTCCCGGCGCTGCGAGTCGATGTGGGTGCCCTGCCTTCCCACAGGCTGTTTCTGGGGCAGCGGCGCACTGACCTTCGACAGGCGGGCGTCGGCCAGGTCACAGCCAGTGACGGTGGCGGGCTCTTGACGTGTAGGGTGTGGTGTGCTCATACCGCCTGGAGTGGTGGCGTGGGCGCGAGCCGAATTCCAGTAGTTTAGAGTCTCAGCCTGCTGCGAACCCCGTGTGACTCAGTCTCAGTCTCCTCATCTGTCAGTTGGGAGTAGATAAGTTAATTCCTGTGATGGCTCCCGCCCTGTACTGTACCTATTCTGTAATTGTTCACTCACTCCCCCTCCTGGAGTTGCCTCAGTGTGTAGAGACAGCCTCATTTGTTCGTTGATATAACATCCATTTCCTCAGGGTGTTCCATAGATCAGTGTTTTCCAAATGTGTTGGACAGCAACCAAAAGAAACATTTTGCATCGCGACCTTAAATATTGTACACTTACATAAATATAAAAGCGAACCAGAAGTTTCTGGAAGCAGTGAGGTTGGTTGGTTTGTTTTACAATCAGCAATATATTCTGTTTTCTGTTTCGTTTAAAAATATGTCACAGCCCACTGCCTTCATTTGATTTTATGGCCCACTCTGGAAAACAGGGCAGCAGTTTGCAGAATGGAGTTTGGAAACCATTGGTTTGAATCTCAGCTCTGTCCCTGACCAGCCGTTGGGGCACCAAGAAGACCATATATGTATTTGTATACTGGGTGGCAGGTAAAATGTATTTATTACTATGGTTCTTAGTTTAAAAAGTTAGGGCCGGGCGTGGTGGCTCACGCCTGTAATCCTAGCACTTTGGGAGGCCGAGGTGGACGGATCACGAGGTCAGGAGATCGAGACCATCCTGGCTAACACGGTGAAACCCCGTCTCTACTAAAAATACAAAAAATTAGCTGGGCATGGTGGCACGCGCCTGTAGTCCCAGCTACTCCGGAGGCTGAGGCAAGAGAATTGCTTGAACCCTGGAGGCGGAAGTTGCAGTGAGCCAAGATCGTGCCACTGCACTCCAGCCTGGGCGACAGAGTGTGACTTCGTCTCAAAAAAAAAAGTTGGAAAACACACTGCATTGGTGTACCCTAGTCTTGATGTGGATATTAAGTCTTCCTTGGGGTTGGAAAACTTTTTGGGCTGGGTATTTTGTTATTCTCCTCACCTAGTCCTTCACCAGATTCTCTAAACTGGATCTATTGATCGTCTCATCCACAGGCTCGTTTCTGACTCATTTCTGTACCCTTCAGTGTTTGAAGAAGAATTCGGTGGGGCCTAGTTGTGAGTCTTCGTGTTGAACTTTGGTGTTGTGCCCAAGTTATTACCTCCAACCCAGAAAGTATCTAATGAGGCAAAATCTTCTAGTCCAAAGACCTCCTTACTCCTTTTCATGTGCTTTAGTTTGATTTTGCTTTAGTTCCCATTCCATGTTCGTATTTTAGCATCATCTTTAGCCCACACCCTCATCATCAAAGTCTTTAAACAGAAGCCCAGTGCAGAGGATACTTTTCTGCCGGTGAGCAGACTCTGCAATGCCAGCCTTGTCTCTGGACTTTGTAATCTGCCAGTTGGATTTCCCTTTAGTCTGCCTTTCCCACCTGTTGGACACCTACTGTGCTGCTGTGTTATCTTGGATTTAGGGTACCACTTGTATTCTAGCCGTGGTGACTAGACATCCTGTTTACTAACTTCCAGCTACTTGAAATAGTGAAATAAAAATGGTGCCTCTGATCTTTGCCATGGCCAGTTTCCTGATCAATGTGTCCTGTTTCCCTTCCTCATGTCTCTTATGGGTTTTTTTCCTGAGGGCTTTGCCTGCTGCCTCATGTCTAGTTGAACATATCCTGTATATGAGTACATGCAGCCTTCTCTGGATTCTCTAGTTGCATCAACTCATTACTGCTTAACGAGAAACACTCTTTTCCTATCCTTTACTAGGCTTCTCTAGACATCTTTACTGATCTTATTTCTGCCCCTCTTTCCAGTCTCGCTTTTTCAAGCAAGCGAGAACTACACAATACCCACTGGTCCAATTTAACCATTCCAACCTTTAAATTATCTTATGTTTCCAGAATACCTCTGCCACCCTCTGCATTTGTCTAATCCTTTTGTGATTTTGTGAGGCCCTCCATCCCATCCCCTAGAATTCTGCCTATGTGAAAGCTTTCAGGACAAATCCTGAATTGGGTGAGAGGTTACTCTATGACCTTTATGATCATTCCATTTTTCACTGTATGTTTCTATGGTACCCACTGCCCAAGCTCTGTTAGTGTAAGAGCGCAGTCTCTAATACACAAACTGAGTTGGAACCCCGAGTCTTCCTTGGAATTCCTCTGTGGCCTTGGGCAAGTTCCTACTCTCTGTGCTTCAGTTTTCTCATCAGGAATGTAAGGATTAAATGAGTTAATACATGTAAAGTGCTTAGGATAGTGCCTGGCACATAATACCTAATAAATGTTAGGCCTTATTATTAAACCTGAAACCCTCAGGCTCTATACTGCACCCATCAATGCTCAAGCCTGTGTGTTTCAGATCCTCTGTAGTCCTAACAGCAATGATAGAGTACCATTTTAACCATTTTGTGTGTGTTATTAACTTGCTTTACTCTTCACTGCAACTCTTTGATATAGAGGTTGTTACTATCTTCATTACATGTAAGGAAAATGGGGCTAAGTAACTTTCCTGAAGTTAAAATAAGTGATAAGTGACTTAAACCCATGTCTTCCAGGTCTTACCAATTTATAGTATATTCTGTATGCTACACATAGTTCTGACTTTGCTACTAATTTTATGTCCTTAGGCAAACCATTTTGTCTTTGTGCTTCAGGGACTGAATTGACTGTACCAAGAAGCATCTTCTGGGGGAACATGAGTGGGTTGAAGGGGAGTATGCTTAATTTTTTCCACTTTGGGATTGTAGACCAGATTATAGAGGTTATGTATGGAAAACCCAAAATATATTCCTAGGGGAAAGAGATGAAAACTAATACACTTATTAAGTACTATCTATGAAATCATATTTAAATTTCTCAGTAACCGTTGAAATAAGTATTGTCATCCTTTACCATAGACAAGGAAACTAAGGCTAAAAGCAGGCACGTGATATCCCTAAGTTCATACAATAAGTTGGACAGGTGGACTTTAACCCATTTTGGCTTAGTCCAAAGCCTGTTTACTTGATATTACACAATGCTACTTTACTGTTTTGAAAGAAGACCACATGGAACCTGATGATTGATACCCCTGAACTGTTAGCTGGCCTTAAATTTTTGTAATAAAATGAATAGATGTATACATAGTACTTTATGGCCCAGGTGAGCATTTTTACTCGACAACACTTAGCTGTCATTGGCTATTGGTGTTTGGTTTTTGGACATGGAATAATGATTGATTAGTCCTCCACAAGCACCTTGAACCCATCACCTTCACTGGAAACATAGTTCTTACTTAACAGCATGTTTTATACAAAGTTCTAAGGAAAGTAATTTTTAGATTTGGCTTGGAGTCTATGAGTTTCATGGATGAAGTTTAATCTCTTTACTGGCATGTCTATTTTTTATGTCCTAGGTACTTTTAAATTCAATACAGATGCTGCTGAATTCATTCCTCAGGAGAAAAAAAATTCTGGTCTAAATTGTGGGACTCAAAGGAGACTAGACTCTAATAGGATTGGTAGAAGAAATTACAGTTCACCACCTCCCTGTCACCTTTCCAGGCAGGTCCCTTATGATGAAATCTCTGCTGTTCATCAGCATAGTTATCATCCGTCAGGAAGCAAACCTAAGAGTCAGCAGACGTCTTTCCAGTCCTCTCCTTGTAATAAATCGCCCAAGAGCCATGGCCTTCAGAATCAACCTTGGCAGAAATTGAGGAATGAGAAGCACCATATCAGAGTCAAGAAAGCACAGAGTCTTGCTGAGCAGACCTCAGATACAGCTGGATTAGAGAGCTCGACCAGATCAGAGAGTGGGACAGACCTCAGAGAGCATAGTCCTTCTGAGAGTGAGAAGGAAGTTGTGGGTGCAGATCCCAGGGGAGCAAAACCCAAAAAAGCAACACAGTTTGTATACAGCTATGGTAGAGGACCAAAAGTCAAGGGGAAACTCAAATGTGAATGGAGTAACCGAACAACTCCAAAACCGGAGGATGCTGGACCCGAAAGTACCAAACCTGTGGGGGTTTTCCACCCTGACTCTTCAGAGGCATCCTCTAGAAAAGGAGTATTGGATGGGTATGGAGCCAGACGAAATGAGCAGAGAAGATACCCACAGAAAAGGCCTCCCTGGGAAGTGGAGGGGGCCAGGCCACGACCAGGCAGAAATCCACCAAAACAGGAGGGCCACCGACATACAAACGCAGGACACAGAAACAACATGGGCCCCATTCCAAAGGATGACCTCAATGAAAGACCAGCAAAATCTACCTGTGACAGTGAGAACTTGGCAGTCATCAACAAGTCTTCCAGGAGGGTTGACCAAGAGAAATGCACTGTACGGAGGCAGGATCCTCAAGTAGTATCTCCTTTCTCCCGAGGCAAACAGAACCATGTGCTAAAGAATGTGGAAACGCACACAGGTAAACCTACCTAGATAGGAAATATTTTGTTGTCTTTTTAATTTAAATTTTTAAATAAGTCATATATTCACATAATTTAGAAAGCAGAAAGTATGGAAAGTTACACTGTAAAAAGTCTCAATCTTTATTCACTGTCTGCCTAAGTTCTACCACCACTCGCTGCTCCCTGCCCCAATAGGTAACCACTTAGTTTTATGCATATCACAAGCAAATACAAATAAGAATTCTTTTTCTTTTCCAAATGAGGAATTTTGTAAGGGTTTTCAAAAATGCAAATACGGGTGGTGTAGATGTCTGGTTACAAGATTTTTTTTGAGTTGTGAAAACAAGTGGTGGGTGGTAACATCTCTGCTGCCTCTTTTGGTTTCATCCTGCATCATCTAATCTGCCTCATCTGGTCTGCTTAGTTGCAGCAGTTCCTAACTGGTCTTATCATCTCTTAATTTCTCTCTTTCAGTTCACCTCTTAAACCAGCATCAGAGAGCAATCTTTATAAAACACATATTTTATTTATTTGTTTTTTTGAGAGGAGTCTCACTGTTGCCCAGGCTAGAGTGCAGTGGTGCGATCCCAGCTCACTGCAACTCCTCCTGGGTTCAGATGATTCTCCTGCATCAGCCTCCCGAGTAGCTGGGATTACAGGCGCCCGCCACCATGCTTGGCTGATTTTTGTATTTTTAGTAGAAATGGGGTTTCACCATGTTGGCCAGGCTAGTCTCAAACTTCTGACCTCGGGTGATCCGCCTCGGCTTCCCAAAGTGCTGAGATTACAGGCGTGAGCCACTGCGCCCTGCCTAAAACACACATTAAACTGTGTCACTCCTCTGCTTAATTCCGTTTACTGCTTCTGCCTTACTCAACAGTCCCATCTTCTGCTGCCTCAATATCTACCACATTTTATTCCCTGGATTCTACACTTTTTTGTCTTTGCATGGTGTTGCATGTGGCTCCCTCTCTTTAGAATTTCTGTCACTCAGTTCGCTGACGAAGTCTTACTCATTTTTCAAAAGCTACTTTAGGCCAGGCATGGTGGCTCACACCTGTAATTCCTGCACTTGGGGAGGCTGAGGTGAGAGGATCACTTGAACACAGGTGTTCAAGACCAGCCTGGGCAACATAAGGAGACCCTGTCACTACAAAAGAATTAAAATAAAAAAATTAGCCAGGCATGTTAGCACATGCCTGTAGTCCCAGACACTCAGGAAGCTGAAGTGAGAGGATCACTTGAGCCCAGGAGATCGAGGCTGCAGTGAGCTATTGTACTCCAGCCTGGATAACAGAGCAAGACCCTGTTTTGCGGGGGGAAAAAAGTTACTTTAGTCACATGTCCAGGGAACCTTTTCTCACCTTTATAGATAGCGTTAATCTCTTACAGCCCTCACGCTTATGTCTTTCTCTTAAATTTGCATGCTTCTATTACAGAACTTACACTGGAAACCATAATTTATTTATGCTTCATTGTCCTCCACTAGTCTGTAAGCTCCTTAAAAACAGACACTGTATATTTCTTTTCTTTTTTTGTGACCCTGCTGCCCCACACAGCTCTTGAAACATAGTAGGTACTCAGTTCTGACCATTAAAAAGTTCATCCTTATATTGAACTGAAAGCTTCTTTCCTTTCCTTCCTATCCTTTGGTTCAAGTTTTATCCTCCGGAGCAGCATAGTAACTAGTCTGTCTTCTCACAGCTCCCCCTCTCCTTACTGCAAATCAGCTTTTTGCAGTATTCGAAGACATCTATCATTTTGCCCTAAGTGTATATTTCATCAAGCTGAATAGTTTTATTCTGCTAGCTCTTCCTCCTGGACCTTCACTATCTTAATCCCTCTCCAGTTTAATGTGAGATACAGCCCAACCCTTGAAGCCACCATCTACCCAGGGCCTGTTTTTACACCAGCCTATAGTTCTAGTTTCTTGCTTTATCAGGATTATTCTTGGAACCTCAATGTATATGTGAAGCAAAGCAATGTTATACCAGAGTTGTTACTGAATCCTTAAGGCTGGTTAATAATTACCTCTTGCTTTATAGTGAATTATCACAATGTAGTGGCTTATGATAACACACATTTACTATGCCACTGTTTCTGTGGGTCAGATGAATGGGTCCTGGTTAGCTGGGTTCTCTGCTCAGTGTCTCCAAATTTGGCTAGGCATGTGATCTCATCTGAGGCTCAGGGTTCTCTTTCAGTCACTGGTTGTTGGTAGGATTCAGTTCCTTACAGATGTAGGACTGAGGTTCCTGTTTTCTTGCTGGCTGTTGGCCAGGGGTGTCTCTCTCAGCTCCTAGAGGCCACCTGTGTTTCCCTGCCACATGACTCTGTACACAACATGATAGTTTGCTTCTTTGAGGCCTGCGGGAAAGCAGCTGCTGCCACTTCAGATCTCTCTGACTTCTGTTTGATTTTCAACTCTTTTAAAATGGCTTACTTGATTAAGTCAGGCCCACCCATACTCAAGGGGAGGAGATTATATAGGGTATGCATACCAGGGAGGTGGGAATCTGGAAGACCATCTTAGAATTCTATTTAACAAATCTCTTGGGGCCTTAACATTCTCACATTATTCATATCATTTTTGAGAACACTTCATTCATATTTGTTGCATAAATACTATATACCAAGCACTGTTCTAGGTACAGGGAATGCTGATGGAATTTACATTCTGGTAGGGAAGACAGGCAGAAAGCACTTAGATATTTAATATGTCAGGTGGTGATAAGGACTAAAAAGAAATATTAAGAAGGTTAAGAAGACAGAGTGACAAGAGTGCTATTTTACATAGGTTGACCTCTTTGATAAGGAGACATTTGAACAGAGACAAGAATGAAGTACAGAAATGCACCATGTGGCTAGCTTGAGAAAGAGCATTCTAGGCAGAGGGAGGAGCAAATTTAGATGTGGGGAGGGGTATTATAGGCAATGAAGATAGGGGCAGGAAAGGTGGTCAGAGAAATAGCAAGGGCTGGATCATGTGAGTCCCTTGGATTTGGTTCTGAGTAAGATGAGAGGCTGCTGGAAGGTCCTGGGAAGAGGGATGTCATGAACTTACATTCTAAAATAATCACTTAGGGTCTGGATGTGGTGGCTCACATCTGTAATCCCAGCACTTTGGAAGGCCAAGGCAGAAGGATTGCTTAAGCCCAGGAGTTCAAGACCTGCCTGGACAACTTAATGAGACCCCATCTCTGCAAAAGGCAAAAAAATAAAAATTAGCTGGACGTGGTGGCACATGCCTATAGTCCCAGCTACTCAAGAGGTTGAACTAGGAGGATCGCTTGAGCCCAGTGGGTCAAGGCTGCAGTAAGTAGTGGTTGTGCCACTGCACTCTAGCCTGGGTGACAGAATAAGAACCTGTCTCAAAAAAAAAAATATTATTAAGCTGCTGTGTGGAGAATAGGCTCTAAGAAGGCAACAGGACAAGTTAGGAGGCTATTGCAGTTGTTCAGGTAGGAGATGATGGAGACTTAGACTGGAGTAATAGTGTGGAAAAGGTAACAATTGGATAGATTTTGGATGTATTTGGAAGGAAGATTTTATGCCTGAGCAACTTAAAAGAATGGAATTGGCATTTACTGAAGTGTCAAAGCCTAGTAGAGAAAAAGGTGTTTGTCTGTAAAATGTTTCAGTTTGGAATAATTTCAGATTTATAGAAAAGTTGCAAAGATAGTTCAAAGAATTCCCATATATCTTTCACCCAACTTCCTCTAATGTTAACGTCTTACATAACCAGACTGCCTTTGTTAAAACTAAGAAATTAGCACTGGTATAATCATATTAACTAAACTACAGATGTTATTCAGATTTCACCAGTTTTTCTGCCAATGTCCTTTTTCTGTTTGAGGACCCAATCCAGGATACCACGTTGCATTTAGTCATGTCTCCTGAGTCTCCTACCATCTCTGACAGTTTCTTCATCTTTCCTTTTTGGAAAAGATGTTTCTGCTCTTGTTTTATTTACTTCTTATTCAGGGAAGATTTTTGTTTAATTTGGTTAAATTTCTGTAATCCCAGTACTTTGGGAAACCGAGTCAAGAGGATCACCTGAGCCCAGGAGTTCAAGACCATCCTGGGCAACAGAGGTAGACCCCATCTCTACAAAAACTAACAAAAAAATCAGCCAGGTATAGTGGCACACGCTTGTGGTCCCAGCTACTCAGGATGCTGAGGTGGGAGGATCGCTTGGGCCCAGGAGTTTGAAGATGCAGTGAGCCACGATCATGCCACTGCACTCGAGCCTAAACTTTGGTGACGCCTGTAACTTTCACAGAAAGAGGTTGTGGAACAGACTAAATATCACTCATTTATTCCTTTATCCATGAATTTAACAAATATTTAATGGAGCACCTAGTATATGCCAGACACTGGAAATACTACACTCAGCAAGGTAGACAAAACTCTCCCTTCTCCTGAGCTTTCAGTCTCAGGGTGTTCTCTATTTCTTTTGACATTAAACTGAACAATCAGAAAGTAAATCTTAGGAGAGCCAATATTATGGAATATTACAGTGTGCGCTTTTGAGTCAGATAGTTTGACAAGTTTGAATTTTGACTTTTAAATTTCTAGTTGTGTGACCTTGGATAAATGATCTAACTACATGAAGCCAGTTTCTTCATCTGTAAAATGGTACCTATGTTATAGCATTTTTTTTTTTTTTTTTTTTTTTTTTGAGACGGAGTCTCACTCTGGAGTGCAGTGGTGCAATCTCGGCTCACTGCAACCTCCGCCCCCGGGTTCAAGAGATTCTCCTGCCTCATCCTCCTTGGATTACTACTGGGATTACAGCCACACTCCACCACGCCCAGCTAATTTTTGTATTCTTAGTAGAGATGGGGTTTCACCATGTTGGCCAGGATGGTCTTGATCTCCCGACCTCATGATCTGCCCGCCTTGGCCTCCCAAAGTGCTGGTATTACAGGTGTAAGCCACCGTGTCCAACCTGTTACAGCCTTTTTGAGAGGACTAAATAATAATATGTAATGTGCTTGCAATGTTGTATTTAAGGTTAATTTTATTCTTTTAACTTATTTAGACCTGAAAGCAAATAACAATAATATTATGAAATAAATGCAGTGCTAAAAGTATGTACTCAAAAAAGCATATACACACACTCACACTCAGTTTTGAGAGTATCTGGCTGTATTGAAATCTAGAAAGACTTTGCTGCAATTGTGTTTGAGGAAAAAAATCTGGAAGTGGGTGAAGGTATTCAGGAATAGATCTGGGAGGATTATTCTGATACTACACACTGGTCTGTGTCACTGGACTTTGAGCTCCTGGAGCCAGGGACTGTAACACCACCATGGGGCTTATGGTAGGCACCAAGAATATCTTTGTTAAGTGAATGACTAAAGACTTTGAGGGCAACGGCTAGAGCCATCTCACCACTCATGGGTTGTTGGAACCTGCCCAGACTTGGGCTTCTTATAGCTGACACTACAGCTTCACGAGCCTCTTTCTAACCTAAATCCATGGATCTGATAGATTTAGAGGATCCTGGAAAATAGAAAATGCAAAGCAAGATCCTGTATTGCCCAGTGGATCCTCAGGCTATGTTACAAGGGGCATTTGGCTACTCTGCTGTTTTCCTGGGAATGTTTCCTTAATTGTGGGAATCCCCACCTGAGTGTCTCCTTCCTAAATCCTCTTCCTCAGCAAATTCCTGCCCCTTTTTGGCCTCAGTCTGAATAGCCAGCTGCCTTACCCAGAATCAGATATCCCTTAAAATCTCTGTGTTTGGATTCTTCTCTTGAGTGACTTGCTGATCCTTGGTTGATTAAAGTGAGGAATGGTTTTTTGTGTTTGAGTTAATCTTTTTTGTTATTTTGTTTTTTAAACAGGTTCTCTAATTGAACAACTAACAACAGAAAAATACGAGTGCATGGTGTGCTGTGAATTGGTTCGTGTCACGGCCCCAGTGTGGAGTTGTCAGAGCTGTTACCATGTGTTTCATTTGAACTGCATAAAGAAATGGGCAAGGTCTCCAGCATCTCAAGCAGGTCAATTAATTCTCTCTTCTGAGTAGTTATTCTCCCCTATTTGATACGTTTAAGTATTATTAAGCCCAGCTTTAAAAATACAGTTTAATTTCTCTTAACTACTTTTTCTGCAGGGAGAGTATGTTACCTTGATCATGTGTTTCATATGACCAGAATTAAGTTATAGATCTTAAATAAACCAGCTAAACAACAATATTAAAATATATTTTAAGATACGACAAAATCAGTCACTCTTATTGAAAATGATGGCTTTTACTTATTATTTTTTCTTTGACCTACTGATTTTATTTCCTGTGGATACATAAACAGAAGTGTGATTGCAGGATCATATGGTAATTCTATTTTTAATTTATCTTCTTCTCATTTTTGGCCAGGCATGATGGCTCACGCCTGTAATCCCAGCGCTTTGGGAGGCCAAGGCAGGCGGATCATCTGAAGTCAGAAGTTCAAGATTAGCCTGGCCAACATGGCAAAACTCCATCTCTACTAAAGATATAAAAATTAGCCAGGCGTGGTGGCGGGCACCTGTAATCCCAGCTACTCGGGAGGCTGAGGCACAAGAATTGCTTGAATCCAGGAGGTGGAGATTGCAGTGATCTGAGATTGCACCACTGCCCTCCAGCCTGGGTGACAGAGCAAGACCCTGTCTCAAACAAACAAAAAAACATTTTTTTTTCATTTTTAAATTTTTACTATGCATACGTAATAGTTTACATGTTTATGGGGTACACATGATATTTTGATACAAGCGTACAATGTGTAATGATCAAATCAGGGTAATTGGCATATGGGGATTCCAACACCTCAAATATTTATCATTTCTTTGTGTTAGGAGCATCCCATTTCTACTCTTCTAGTTATTTTGAAATATATAATAAATTGTTGTTAGCCATAGTGCTACTAAACACTAGATCTTATTCCTTCTATCTAACTGTATTTTTTTTTTTTTTTTTTTTTTGAGACAGAGTCTTACTCTGTTACCCAGGCTGGAGTCCAGTGGTGTGATCATGTCTCACTGCAGCCTTGAATTCCTGGACTCAAATGATCCTCCTGCCTCAGACTCCCAAGCAGCTGAGACTACAGGCACATGCCACCACATCCAGCTAATTTTTTTTTTTTTTGAGACGGTCTGCTGTGTTGCCCAGTCTTGTCTTGAACTCCCAGGCTCAAGCAATTCTGCATCAGCCTCCTAAAATGCTGGGATTAGACACATGAGCCACCATGCCTAGCTAGTGGTTTTTTTTTGTTTGTTTTTGTTTTTTTTTTGAGAGGGAGTCTCACTCTGTTGCCCAGGCTGGAGTGCAGTGGCACGATCTCGGCTCACTGCAGCCTCCACCTCCCAGGTTCAAGTGATTCTTCTGCCTCAGCCTCCTGAGTAGCTGGGATTACAGGCGCGCACCACCACGCCCAGCTAATTTTTGCATTTTTAGTAGAGATGATGTTTCATCATGTTAGCCAGGGTGGTCTCAATCTCCTGACCTTGTGATCCACCCACCTCTGCTTCACAAAGCGCTGGGATTATAGGCATGAGCCACCACACCTGGCCTTTTTTTTTTTTTTTTTTTAATGAACCCCATATTTAGTGGAAAATGCTGTATTCAAGCTAAGCAGTCAGTATTGTGAATTTGTTCCTTAAATGTCTGATATGCTTAACATTGAAATTATTACCACTACTTCAATATTGTGTCTTCCTATAGATTTAAATTTTTTTAATTACATGTAGCTTTTGGAAGAAAATTTATTTGGCCTACTCCCATTTTTCCTGACAGATGGCCAGAGTGGTTGGAGGTGCCCTGCCTGTCAGAATGTTTCTGCACATGTTCCTAATACCTACACTTGTTTCTGTGGTAAGTTTGTTTATATACACTGGAGTCTCTTTTACTACATACATTGTACCTCAGTTCAGGAAAGGTGGTCTGCGGGGCATGTTTTAGAAGTTACTAATGAGACTTCAAAGCTCTAGGAGTCTATAAGACTGTAATTATGTGGTCCATCACACAGCTAGAGCCACAGCCTTTGTGCTCCTGGCAAGCTGTTCTGGAGATGGCCAACCAGGCTCATGCTGCTTCTGGGCTGTAGTGCTTGTCTCCTTGGTCTTGAGACCAGGCCTGACCATGTAGCAGAGATAGGTGTGGACGTGGGCTTCATCTCACCCCCAGCAGTTACAGCTTTGATAGTCCAGATTTGAGCAGTATGAGTAAATAATAGTGTTTATTTTAATCCTGGAAATAAGTCATTGGTATTTATAATCAGATTTTTTATAAACCAGCATTATAAACTCTATCCTGGCATCTTCCCTCTTTATGGAATACTTCTTTCTGTTTTTGAATATCTCAGTTCCCCCAAGTATTAGGGGAAAACTTCTTGTAACCCAGATGCTCATTCTTGCTGCTAGCCCATTTCTGCATGTTTTTTTTCCTTTCCTGCCTTTTAATGACTAACTTCCCTCTAGTTGTTGATTTTTCAGATTTTGTTTCTTTACTGTCTGTCTCCCTCCCTGAAGCATTGCATTTTTGCTTCTGTCTTGTTGCCTCACTGAAACCGTATTCAGAAATTACCAATGGGCCGGGCTTAGTGGCTCACGCCTGTAATCCCAGCACTTTGGGAGGCCAAGGTAGGTGGATCACCTGAGATCAGGAGTTCGACACCAGCCTGGCCAACATGGTGAAACCCCGTCTCTACTAAAATAAGTTAGCTGGGCATAGTGTTGCATGTCTGTAATCCCAGCTACTTGGGAGGCTGAGGCAGGAGAATCGCTTGAACCTGGGAGGCAGAGGTTGCAATGATCCAAGATCATGCCATTGCACTCCAGCCTGGGCGACAGAGTGAGACTCCATCTCAAAAAAATAAATAAATAAAATAAAAACAAAGAAATCACCAATGACTCCTTTCCAGCCATATCTAGGGCTGATTTTATAAGCTCATAATCTTTTTGGTAGAGTGATAGCCCTTGACACCTTTGACCATTCCCTTCTTGAAATAAGTAGCTCTTCCTGTTTGTTTCTGCATGCTCTCCTTATTTTTCTAACCAATTTGCTCATATTTCTCCTTTCCCATTACTTAGCTAGCAGCTTTCACAAAGAGTCAAGTCATTTACCATCAACTCTGAATCTTCTAGATGCAATACCTTGGTGAACTCTTTGACTTCCCCTTCTTTTCTTTCAATTCTTAACCACAGTATCATTTAAGATCTGACCCCAAACACCCTCTTACAAAGGAAGCTTTCCTTTGTTATTCTCTGTCTCACTTTGGCCTCTGTTTTATTTGGAATTTTCCGGTCTTACATGTTTTATTGACAGAATCTCAGCCTTAATAGATACTAAATTGGTATTAGATGAGGGAATAAATATTCTTGAATATACTACCAGAAAGGCAGCATGAAACTGGAAGTAAGAGATCAGTGGAAATTTGGGCAAATAGGACAATACCAATACTTAATACCTTATTTTGAAGGATTACATAAAGTACCACAATGGAATTAAAAATCTTGTTAAAGCCTCTACTGGCAAATTAGATGAGAGACTCTAAGGCAGTATAAGAATGTGGAGTGAAGGTCAAGATGATCTGAAAGTGGTAAAATGATGTGAGAATGCACATAAAGGCCTTATTTGCAGATGACTTTGCCCCACACTGTTCTTCCAGGGGACCATTAATTTAACATGTTTTTATTGAGAACTTATTAATGTTCAAGGCACTGTGAAGAAACAGAGGCGAATAAAACGGTTAACTTACCAGAGCTTACAGTCTAAGAGTTAAAACACAATTAGCCTGATACTCTGCTAGAAGTACAAAGTACTATGGGAGATCTTTGGGGTAGTTACGACTTACAGCTGGATGATTAAGAGAAGCCTTCTTGGAGGAGGTAGAATTGAACTGGCATTGTAAACTAGGTAAAATCTTTGTAGGCAGAAAGATATGTTGAAGGGAATAGCATAGGCAGTTCAAAATCAACAGGGTTTAGGGTATATTGGGAGAAGAGTGATTCATCCACTTACAGAGCCCAGGATCTATGATGGTAGGGGAGTGGGAGATGACTGGAAAGGAAGGGCTGACCCTTTGATACCAGTCTCAGATGTTGGGACTTCATTTGGAAGGCTGTGGGAAGCCACTGAGGGCATCAACATGATTCTTTATGGAGATTAGTTTGGTAGCAGTGAGTAGAGTATTTTGGAGCCTAAATAATTTGGGACTTATAATCCAGATGAAGAGTAGTACAAGCCTCTAAGGAGTGTGATAGAAAAATATGGTGTTAGGTTGATTCCTGACAGTAGTAGGAATGGGAGTCACCCAAAGTTTCATGCTTTTGGAAATGGTGATACCAAGGAAAAGGGCAGGTCAAAAGAAGAAGGTCTGGTGGGGACAGTGACTACAGTTTAGAAATGTTGAGCTGGAGGAGTGAGCAGAACATACAGTGAAATATGTCCAACAGGCAGGTAGCAATATTTGAGGAAAGACCAGGACTTAAGGATGAGAATCACAGCTGAGAGGAGTAGTTAAGACCCTAGCGGATGAAAGGGTACAGAGTGAGAAAAGGGTGTAATGCAGAACACTTGCAGGGGAAAGAAAAGCAAAAAACCCCAAAACATCATTTGGAGTCAGGGACAAAAGGTAGAGCTCTTGAGAGATGTTAGAGGAAAACCAGGGCACTGTATTGGAGCAAAAAAGCACAGAGGCAGGGAGGCTTTTGTGATAGTCTGGAGATGAGGTTTTGGCCAGTTAGAGAGGCAGGAACAGGAGAGCGATGAGGTGAGAGCCACTTTGTAGGAAAAATTGACACAACTTGGTGATTAAGTAGAAAGAGGTGTCAGAGATGACTGTAGTTTTTGAGCGTGTGTGACTCTGACAGAGTTGACGTCACTGACAGAAATAGGAAACCCTGAAAAGGGAGGAGTTATAGAGGGAAGATGTGAACTTTGACTGTGGATAAAGCCAGTTTGAGGTGACTGTGAAACCCCAAGCAAGAATGTTCAGCAGACATTTGGACATATGGGTCTGAAACTGAAGATTCAGGGCAAGAGAGAAAATGTGGATTTGGGGATCAATGGCCTTTAGGTGGATTGCACCTCTCAACATGAATAAAATTTCTGAAAGAGATAGTATAGAGAGAAAAGCAGAGGCCATGGACTGGGGATGGCTGCAATTTAGTGTGCAAATTGCCCAAGTGAGGATGAATTCCTCAAGGGCAAGGAGGAATCCTGTGCCTTCGTTTTACTCTTCCCTGTCTCTGCTGAGTCCATGGAAGATGTGCCATGAAGATTTGCAGTGACATTGATTATAAAAGTATAAGGTCTTTTATGCCGACTTTATAGTTCTGGAATAGGTGAGTTCCTGCTACTCGGGATTTATGTCCTTTCCATTTCTTACTGCCTCCCCCCTTTCCCCACGGTGCTCTTCTCTTATTCCCTCTCTCTGATCCTTCCAGCAGCAATTCGCATATCAGTTCAGAAGTCCAGTTATAGACGACTTGTCTTATAGGTATTTATCTTAAATTAAACGTTTCCATTAGTCAAGATAGTATTTTCGTAAGTAAAAGTGACTTTTTATTTATCTTTCCCAGGTAATCCAAGATTTAAGATTTATCATACTCAGTGAAACTTTTTATGAATAGCATTATATTTATCTTTTTATTTTAAGATATGGGATAATACATTTGTTGAAATAATAAAAACCACACTAAAGTTGCATGCTGCCTAGCTATACTTTACTGTTTCATTAAAGTTGAGAATGTGGTTGAAGTTTGTACCATTGACTCTCTGATCTGATATGTTCTAGGCAAGGTAAAGAATCCTGAGTGGAGCAGAAATGAAATTCCACATAGCTGTGGTGAGGTTTGTAGAAAGAAACAGCCTGGCCAGGACTGCCCACATTCCTGTAACCTGTAAGTTGGAATGCTAATTCCGTTGGGATTGCTGGTGGACATGCTTTGCTGGTGGCTCTAAGTAAACATACCTGGTTAGCATGTAATGGTTTGGGATGAAGGGTGATATGGGACCTCAGTAAATGGTCTCAAATCACCCTGTGCCAGGCACTCTACATCAGTTAACTTGTTGAATCCTTACCACAGCCCAGTAATAGATATTTACCATCTCTGCTTTACAGATGAGGCTCAGAAAGGCCAAGCCTCTTGCCCAGCATCACAGTGGCAGGGCGTGGATGGTGGAGCTAGGGTTTCCAAAGCCAGTGCTGCTTCCATTACATTACACTGCTTGCTTCTAAGAAGAAATGTGACTCATATGTTTTATCCCGCATTGATATCCAGGTCCAAGAGAATGTATGGGAGAACCTTCTGTCTGGGGAAAGACAATTGTTTAGGGTCCCGGTCGGACAGTATTTCCAAGATGTCAAGATGTCAATCTTTTTCTTTCTTTCTTTCTTTTTTTTTTTTTTTTTTTTTGAGACAGGGTCTCGCTTTGTCACCCAGGCTGGAGTGTGAGTGTGGTGGTGTGATCACAGCTCACTGCAACCGCCGCCTCTTGTGCTCAAGCCATCCTCCCACCTCATCCTCCTGAGTAGCTGGGACTACAGGCGTGTGCCACCACGCCTGGCTAATTTTTGTATGTTTTGGTAGAAATGGGGTTTTGCCGTGTTGCCCAGGTTGGTCTCGAACTCCTGGGCTCAAGCAATCTGCTCTCCTCAGCCTCCCAACATGCCAGGATTACTGGTGTGAGCCACCACACCCAGCCATAGGATGTCAGTCTTTTCCCTACAATAAATAGCCAGCTGTAGATTATATCCATAAGCCAGACACGGTGGCTCATGCCTATAATCCCAACACGTTGGGAAGCCAAGGCAGGAGGATTGCTTGAGGCCAGGAGTTCTAGACCAGACTAGGCAACAAAATGAGACCCCGTCTCTACAAAAAAATTTAAAATTAGCCAGCTGTGGTGGCACACACCTGTAGTCCCAGCTACTTGGGAGGCTGAGCAAGGAGGATCATTTGAGTCCAGGAGTTCACGGCTGCAGTGAGCTGTGATTGCACTATTGCACTCCAGCCTGGGCAACAAAGCAAGACCATGTCTCTAAAAATAATAAATAAATAAATAAGTAGACTGTATGCAGTCAGCTTCTAAATACCAAAAAATGCACAGTAATAGAAAAACAGTTGATCAGTTACAAATAAATTTCTACAGGCCTTAACCTCAGACAAAGGTTTAAATCTTAGGTTCAAGTTACTTAAATAGTTATGTAACCTTGGACAAGTTATTAATTTATCTAAGCCTGCATCTGTAAAATAATAATGATAGTAATAATAACACTTATAGGGTTCTATGAAAATTAAATGAATTAGTGCATCTATGCGGCTCGATATAGAGTCTTTCTGGCAAGTGATCAAAAAATGACAATTCTTACTTTTACTACCCAAATCTAAGAGTAAACCAGACATCAGAGTGTTATCTTGGTATTTCTACTGCTTGGAGGAGGGATAATATTGGACCAGGGCCTTGTGATCAAGGCATGGTGGTGGCGCTGGGGAAATGTCAGTGGGGGTAGAGCTGTTTTAAACTGGGCTAGACAGCATGGCCTGTGATCTGCTGGGCAGTCAGATACCTCATTCCCTTTGACTGCTCGCATAGGTCCTTCCTTAGGAAGGAGTTAAGCTATTCTTGCCATTAGTTGTCATTTTCAGTAAATTCAGTAATAAGAAGTTAATCCTGGCTGGGCGCGGTGGCTCATGCCTGTAATCCCAGCACTTTGGGAGGCCAAGGCGGGTGGATCACGAGGCCAGGAGATCGAGACCATCCTGGCTAAGACGGTGCAACCCTGTCTCTACTAAAAATATAAAAAATTAGCCGGGTGTGGTGGTGGGCACCTGTAGTCCCACCTACTGGAGAGGCTGATGCAGGAGAATGGCGTGAACCCGGGAGGCGGAGGTTGCAGTGAGCCGAGATCATGCCACTGCACTCCAGCCTGGGCTACAGAGCAAGACTCCGTCTCAGAGAAAAAAAAAAAAAACTTAATCCTCTGCATGGACTATTTTTCCAAACCCTTCATGACTACCAGAGATTAAAACTGTTGCAGATCAAGTGATCAGCACCATGTCTGAAAGAAAAGAACACCTTAAAACCTGCTCCTGCTCTTTTGTGGCTCTGGAGCTTTCACACTTGACTTGGGAACTTTCTTTTACTTTCAGGACCATAGAAGCCCATTCCCCAGTAGCACTTTTCTGGTCTCCAAGAAAGCTTTGCTTTCTCTCATTTACACTTGTTAGGACTCAAAAGTGACAGAGACAGGGTCTCGCTCTGTTGCCCAGGCTTGAGTGCAGTGGTGCTATCGTAGCTCACTGCACCCTTGAACTCCTGGGCTCAAGCGATCCTCCCACCTCAGCCTCCCAAAGTGCTGAGAGTACAGGCATGAGCCACCATGCCTGGTGTGAACATCAATATTTTTAAAAGCTCTCCAGGCACTTCCAATATATAGCCAGTGTTGTGGACCTCTGGTCTAAAAGTTAAGAAAACCTGAGATTGAGGAGATTGAGTCCAGGCTTCTGAGATATTTGACATAACCTAGAATCACCCACACCTGACAAGCAATGAAAATTGTTTCACCCGAAAGGATTGAGGTATATATAAAATATAACTGTTGAATAATGATACTCATCTTTAAAGAAACATGCTTAAACTTATGTCTCCTATGGGTATTGTCTATCAAAATGAGTCATCTTAGAAGACTAGACACTTGTTCCTGGATTGTTTTCAATGTTTAAACTTTATTTAAGAATTATCAGAGCTTGTTTAGGAGTTTCATAGAAACTAAACATTCCAGCCAGACCACTTTATAAGCACACTAATGTTTTACAGCAAATTCTGTTACCCATCTGATTAATTAGTCTTGGCTCTGATTGGCTTTTGATTCCCAAAGGGTTGTAATTTGCCACCTAGAATATACCCCTCCTACTCCAAAAACAGTTGTCGTAGAAGTTCCCAAAATGTTTTAAGTAGTGGTATTTCTGTACCACTGTGTAATTTGCCAAAGTGTCTGCTTTGAAGAGGGCAGTATATATTTGAATATACAAATTCCGTATTGTAACTTTTTTCTATTGGTCTCTATAATATAGCTCCTAAAATAGCATTTTTCAGAGGGCTAATTCTGACCTATAGCATATCACTCAGCCCAGTTCTTTCCATGACCCCCTTCCCTTTCATTCTCTCCATGTTACTCACTAGCATGCCTCCCCTCATGTCAGCCTTCTTTTCACTGTTCCATTGTTTGCCCAGTGCCTGATTATTACTTCACTAGCTGATAGTATGTCTGTACTTCTTACGGACCAGGTAGATTTGAGTTCTATTACTTTGCTTAGACTCTGATCTTCTACAGGACCCTATTAGCCATTCTGCCTTTTACCTGAGTAGCAAACTATTTTTATCCCCACACACTGCTGTAAGTGGGCCAAGACTGTATTTGAAAATGTCATCTTTGACTCTCAGACCCAAATATAACCAGTATTTTGACTTGGGATTTACTTCTGTGGTTAAATAGTCTGTGGTGATAATGATGTCGATTTTTTGCACATAAAAGTACAGTTGATATCTTTGTTCAAATAGTTTAATCAACTTTAAACAAATACAAAGACATGTCATAGTAGATGTATTTGTTGCCATATTCACAATAAGACCCAGCTGGGACAGCTTTGTTCGGGTTTGGATACATGGCTGTGGTTTATTCAGTGAAACCTTTCTCTTTCAGTCTCTGCCATCCAGGACCCTGCCCACCCTGCCCTGCCTTTATGACAAAAACATGTGAATGTGGACGAACCAGGTAAAGTTAAAATTACACCCTAAAGAAGACCTCAGTTTTCACATGCATGATTGACTTGTGAATTTCTGAAATAAAAGAATAGTAGGTAGATACAAATAAATGGTAGGCATGAATAGTACTTTTTTTTTTTCAGGAGTGAAAGTTTATTAAAAAGCTTTAGAACAGGAAGGAAAGGACAGAAGGAAAGTACAACTTGGAAGAGAGCCAAGTGGGCAACTTGAGAGACCAAATGTGCCATGGATAGTACTTTTCTGTAACTAGTAGTTCCCTGTGCTGCCCATGACCCTATTTTGTAATCTTATAAGTGATTAAGAAGTTATATGCACAATGAGATTGTGAGACTACCCATTATTTCGGGTAAAATACCAAAGTGACAAGGATTTTTTTTTTTTTGAGACGGAGTCTCGGTCTGTCACCCATGCTGGAGTGCAGTGGTGCGATCTCGGCTCACTGCAACCTCTGCTGCCTGGGTTCAAGCAATTCTCCTGCCTCAGCCTCCCAAGTAGCTGGGATTACAGGCGCCTGCCACCGCACCTGGCTAGTTTTTGTATTTTTAGTAGAGATGGGATTTCACCATCTTGGCCAGGCTGGTCTTGAACTATTGACTTCGTGATCCACCCGCCTCGGCCTCCCAAAGTGTTGGGATTACAGGCATGAGCTACCGCGCTCGGTCGGCAAGGATTTTTTTTTTAACCTCTCTAAGTGGGTGACAGAACCAGGAGTTGAACCCAGGCCTAAGGAGGCTGGGACCAGTTTCCTGTGCCTAGCACAGTATCTGGCATCTAAGAGTCTTTTAATGAATATTGTTGAATGAAAGAATAGGTGACTCCAGAGCCCACCCTTGTTCCATTATAATACAAGGTCTCCTACATCATTAGTACAAGGATTACTGATAGCTGTGGAGTGTCTCTGAGGCCCAGTAAGATCTTAAAATGATTTTTGAACCACAGGATGAGATGAATCATGCAGATTTTCGGTGAGGTGCGTTTGTTTAGCCTTTACTGAACTTATGTGGACAGCCATGTGGCCTGAGATTACATGTAAGTGTTTTGACTCAGAAAGGTCAGATCCTGGTTCTGTCACTTACTGGTTGTTGATTCTGGGCAAGTTGCTTGGTCTCACTGAACCTCATTTTTCTTATAAAGTAGAAATAATAGTGTCTACTTCAAGGGGTTACTGTTAGCCATGGTGCTAGGCAGAATGGCAGCATAATAGGCTAGTGTTAGCCATTATGTCAAGTACTGCAAGCTGATCATTTATGTACATAACAGTGACTTTTAAAAACAAAATATGGAGTTGAGATGAGAGTCAGGGATGAAATAAAACTCTTCTTGCAGGAGAGTAGACTCCAAGTGCTTAACCATTACCCTAGAAAGAGACTTGAAGACAATTGTCTAAAAGTACTTTTTGCGGCTGGGCGCAGTGGCCCACGCCTGTAATCCCAGCATTTCGGGAGGCCGAGGTGGGTGGATCACTTGAGGTTAAGAGTTCGAGACCAGGTGGGCCAACATGGTGAAACCCCGTCTCTACTAAAAATACAAAAATTGGCTGGGTGTGGTGACACGTGCCTGTAGCCCCAGCTACTGGGGAGGTTGAGGTAGGAGAATCGCTTGAAACCAGGAGGTGGAGGTTGCAGTGAGCCGAGATGGCTCCACTGCACTCCAGCCTGGGCAACAGAGCAAGACTCTGTCTCAAATAAACAACAACAAAAAAGGACTTTCTTATATCCTTCTCTCAGCAAAATCAGGATGTTTATTAGAACAAAACTAGAATTAGCTTATTTCCCTACCCTGAAGCAAAGTCACATATAGTATGTTCTAAGTGCTGGGTCTCAGGATAATGCCATTGTGCTGTTAGTCTGAGTGTGTCAGATCTGGGTACATGATAGCTGTCCTCCCGTCTGTAAAGTACTGTGGAAGCTCCAGGCAGAGCTAGGACCAGAACCCAGATCTTCTAACTCCTCACCCCAGCATTCTTTCTCCTTACGCATGCTGCTTCATGGAACTCAGAGATGAAATCACATAAAGCAAATACTCAGGAATAGCCTTCAGTTCCTCACCACTCAGAAAATAGGAAAGAAAGACAGGATGGAAAAGAAAAAGAAAAAGGAGGAGAAAGAAGAAAGAGTGGGCCGGGCGTGGTGGCTCAAGCCTGTAATCCCAACACTTTGGGAGCCTGAGGCAGGAGGATCGCTTAAGCCTAGGAGTTTAAGATTAGTCTGGGCAATATAGTGAGACCCTGTCTCTATTTAAAAAAAAAAACAAAAACAAAAACAGAAGAAGAAAAAGAGTGGAGAAAGGGAGAGTAATTGAGAAAATAAGAATTGGAGGAGGGAGACATAGGAAAAAGTGAGGGAAATGAAGTTAGAGAAAGGCTTAGTGGGTTTTGAGGGGAGAGTTAGGGGCCGCAGTGTTAGTTTGGTTGTCCAACAGGAACTTTTACACTGATGCTGTCTTTACATCTATTGTCTTTACAGGCACACAGTTCGCTGTGGTCAGGCTGTCTCAGTCCACTGTTCTAACCCATGTGAGAATATTTTGAACTGTGGTCAGCACCAGTGTGCTGAGCTGTGCCATGGGGGTCAGTGCCAGCCTTGCCAGATCATTTTGAACCAGGGTAAGTGGTGGGCACACCAGCTAGCAATGCTTGTGTTCTTTTCTGGAACCTTATTAATGATTGTCTTGATAAACTTTGATTGGTGTCAGACTTTTAGTCACAAAGACCTTGAGTAGAGAGAACTGGAGATACGATGCTTAGACGGTTTTTATTATTTTACCTGCATACCAGTATAGGTCATTGTCCTATATAATTTTTTTTTTCTTTTTGAGATAAGTCTCACTCTGCCGCCCAGGCTGGAGTGCAGTGGCGTGATCCTAGCTCACTGCAACCTCCACCTCCCAAGTTCAAGCAATTCTCCTGTCTCAGCCTCCCGAGTAGCTGGGATTACAGGTGCCTGCTATCACGCCTTGCTAATTTTTGTGTTTTTAGTAGAGATAGGGTTTCACAATGTTGGCCAGGCTGGTCTTGAACTCCTGACCTCAAGTGATAATGCCTGCCTGGGCCTCCCAAAGTGCTGGGATTACAGGCGTGAGCCACAGTGCCTGGCCTATCTAATTTAAATAGTAGATTTTAAAATGCTGTTTAAAAGTAACTGCTTGAAAAGGACCAGATTATTATGGACCTAGAAAGACCAAAATAATCTTTTTAAAAATGAACTGGCCGGGCATAGTGGCTCATGCCTGTAATCCCAGCACTTTGAGAGGGTGAGGCCGGTGGATCACTCGAGGTCAGCAGATTGAGACCAGCCTGGCCAGCATGGTGAAACCCTGTCTCTACTAAAAATACAAAAATTAACTGGGCGTGGTGGTGGGCGCCTGTAATCCCAGCTATTCGGGAGGCTGAATCAAGAGAATCACTTGAACCCGGGAGGCGGAGGTTGCAGTGAGCAGAGATGGTGCCACTGCACTCTAGCCTGGATGACAGAATGAGGCTCAGTCTAAAATAATAATAATAAAATGAACATATGTGAAATCTAAGAACATATAAAACTAATTTTTCATAATAAAAATTAGAAAATGGTTGCCTAGTGGTGGAAATTGGGGGAAGGGACACAAATTTTCTGGGTTGATAGAAATGTTTGATATCTTGTTTTGGGTGGTGGTCACACAGATGTATACAATTACCAAAAGATATCCGAAACCAATCAAAACTGAATATGTAAAATATTTGTGTTTATTATATGCTAGCTGTACATCAATGGGAAAAAAAGTAGAAAGTATCTACATGAATAGAAAAAAATTTTTTAATTGTGAATATAAGTTTATGTTTTTGATGTTTTCAGTTTTTCTCTTCCTCTCCATTACTGCAATCTAGAAATGGAACAGAAGAATCTAATTTTATAGTTGGGGCGTGTTGGCGGGCGCCGGTAATCCCAGGTACTTGGAGGCTGAGGCAGGAGAATCGCTTGAACCTGGGAGGCGGAGGTTGCAGTGAGCTAAGATCGTGCCATTGCACTCCAGCCTGGGCAACAAGAGCGGAACTCTGTCTCAAAAAAAAAAAAAAAAGGAATCTAGTTTTATTTTCTCTTAGTGCAATGCAATTATCCCCTTTTTGCTCTCCAGAGTGAATATTGTCAGTTACCCAGTCGCTGATTAAACAGCCTGAAAGCTCACTGTATTTTTAGGTAGGCTGTTTAGTCATGATACAACTCTAATCGTCCCAGTTTTTTCTTTTATTGAGCCAAAATCTGCTTCCCTGAAATATACTCTCTCCTTCGTCTGCCTTTCTCTACATTTTATGTTCCTCCTGGGTTGTTCAAAATCAGCTGTCATATATTCTTTCCCCAGCGTTTCCTTTCAGGCCTAACAGCTGTGATTGCTTCATTTCTTCCCTGTGAAACATGCTCAGAGACCACACATCCTCTTAAAAGTGGCTAGATTGGCCTGGGCACGGTAGCTCATGCACTCTGGGAGGCCAGGGCAGGTGGATCACTTGAGCCTAGGAGTTTGAGACCAGCCTGGGCAACATGGCGAAAACCAGTCTCTAACAACAACAAAAAAAAAAAATTAGCCAGACATGGTGGCATGTATCTGTAGTCCTAGCTACTTGGGAGGCTGAGGTGGAAGGATGGCTTGAGCCCAGGAGGCGGAGGTTGCAGTGAGCTGAGATCATGCTACCGCACTCCAGCCTAGGTGACAGTACCCACCTCTGTCTCAAAAAAAAAAAAGTGGCCAGATTGTTCACAACAATGCCAGTCTTTTTGTGGGATCCACGAAAACCAGTATTGTTCGAAACTCGGTGTTCTTTGAGTACATTCTTGAGATTTTTCACTGAGACGGAGGACTGATTAAATGTGTCCTGATTATTTTCCAGACTAAAATTTCTGGTCTGTTCTCTGTGGAATAGAACTTCAAGGCTTCCATCACCTATTGTGAATCCTGACCCTGCCTGTGGGTGCTCCCTCCAGTTTTATCCCAGGCTGAAAATGGGATAATATGTTCCAGCCCCTGTTTTTAATAGTCTCTTCAAGAGAATGAAGAGTTGCCTGTGCCCAGTTTGATTATCCATTATGTCATATGGATCTGTAATTAACAGGAAGTGCAGAAAAGCTCTCTATCCTGGTACTTACCAAGCCTTTTTTTTTTTTTTGGATCTCGTTCTGTCATCCAGGCCAGAGTGCAGATTCTCCTGCCTCAGCCTCCCAAGTAGCTGGCACTACAGATGCACACCACCATGCCTGGCTTCAGCTGTTTTTAGCTCTTGATTCATATTGGGCTTTTACTCAGCTAAATCACCCAAGTCTTTTTTGTACAAATTTCTGTGGATCCCAGTCTCTTCCTCCTTGTTTCTGTTTAGTTGATTTTTCAAACCCAGTTTTGAAGACTTTTTGTTTTTCCACATTAGTTATCTAGCAGAATATTTTGGCCATGTAAATAGTTTATCTTCTTGAATTATAATCTTCTAGGATCCCTTTCAGCCTTATCTAGAGATTAATAAGCATTCTTTTTGGGTCTTTATTCATATGTTGATAAAATACTAAATGGGTTAAGGCTGGCAACAGGGTCCTTTGGTTCCTTAATATTATTTAACCAGCTGTGACTCTACCTAATTCTTCTGTCACCTGCTCATATTTCTGTCTCTCGTGCCTAGGAGAGCTTTTTAGTATTTACTCAGATTTTTTCATCAGGAACTCAATTTTTTTATTGTTACCTGTTCTGACCCTTGATTCTTTTGCTCACAGCTTTCTATTCATTACCTCTGTAAAAAGCCTTTGTTCTGTTTGAGCAGAAACTTAGCAAAGAAAAGCCTACTAGCAAAAGCTTCCAGTTTCCAGGGTTTCTTTACCAGTTCATTGATTCTACAAATATTTATTGTGTTTTCTGAATCTTTATTAATTTATCAAATCAGTCTTTATTAAATGAACAAATGAGTTTTAGAACGGGGGAAAAAATTGCATATAGGCCGGGTGTAGTGGCTCACACCTGTAATCCCAGCACTTTAGGAGGCCAGGATGGGCTGATCACTTGAGCCCAGGAGTTTGAGACCAGCTTGGGCAACATGGCAAAACCCCATCTCTACAAAAAATACAAAAGCTAGCCAGGTGTAGTGGCACGCACCTGTACTCCCAGCTACTTGAGGGGCTGAAGTGAGAACATTGCTTGAGCCCGGGAGTTTGAGGCTGCAGTGAGCTGTGTTCACATGACTGCACTCCAGCCTGGGTGACAAAGTGAGGCCCTGTCTCCAAAAAAAAAAAAAAAAGAAAGAAAGAAAAGAAAAGAAATTGCACATGCACTTACTGGAAGATGAAATGTGTATTTTAAAAATAAAGAGTCCTTGAATCTTAAATTCAGCTAATTAAAAAAAAAAAATCAAGGCAGGCACAGTGGCTCACACCTGTAATCCCAGCACTTTGGGAGGTCGAGGCCGCAGTAAGCTGTGTTCACACCACTGTACTCCAGCTGGGCAACAAAGTGAGATCCTGTCTTTAAAAAAAAAAAAATCTAGAGTCTTAATTATGGCCGGGCGTGGTGGCTCACGCCTGTAGTCCCAGCCCTTTGGGAAGCTGAGGCAGGTGGATCACCTGAGCTCAGGAGTTCAAGACCAGCCTGGCCAACGTGGTGAAACTCCATCTCTCCTAAAAATACAGAAATTAGCTGGGCGTGGTGGCGGGCCCCTATAATCCCAGCTACTTGGGAGGCTGAGGCAAGAGAATTGCATGAACCGGGGAGGTGGAGGTTGCAGTGAGCCAAGATCATGCCATTGCACTCCAGCCTGGGCAAGAGTGAGACTCTGTCTCAAAAAAAAAAAAAAAAAAAAAAAAAAAATCTTCATTATAGTGAAACCTTTTGGTTCTGTTTAATGTACGATTTTATTTTATGAGTATTATTTTTAATACCTTATTAGAAGGTTTCTATTTTATTTTTATTGTATATGTGATTTTAAAAATGTGATGTTTTTATAATACTGCATTTATTCTGATCATTAGATCTTATACTCTCATGCCAATTTTTAAATTTCTTTTTGGCAACGGGGACCTTTTTACAAGTGTTTTATGTAAAACCTGACATAAAGTATGAAACCTGTGCTTCTTGGGTTGAAGTGAGGATGGGAAATCCAGATGTCAACTCCTCCACCACTACTACCAGCTTAGCTTGTCTATCTCCTGTAACATCACCAGAGGACCCGCAGGAGCCTCACAGTGAATGGTGTTCAGCCACGGCCTTATGGACCAGATAGTGTTCTCTTAATTTAGAGGTTGCTTCACTCTGATGCTGTTCTTGGAATGTGCTGCAGAGGCACTATGAGATATTAATAGTTTAACAAGGCTTTTTTAATTTCTTCCTATGGTAAAGCTCTTAGGCGGGTCTTAGAGCTGCTGTATGAACTATACTCATTTCTGCATAGGTCTGATCAGTACTCTATTTGGCCTCCCAGATTACAGGCATGAGCGACTGTGCCAGGCCCGCATTTTGTATTTTCTTATAGATTATTTGTGACATTTTAAGAACCCATACATGTTACTAACGTTTTGTTTTTGAAATTTTCTCTTCAAGTATGCTATTGCGGCAGCACCTCCCGAGATGTGTTATGTGGAACCGATGTAGGAAAGTCTGATGGATTTGGGGATTTCAGCTGTTTAAAGATATGTGGCAAGTAAGGTTTTACGTTTTCTTCAGTTGAACTAAAGCTGCACTTTATGCAACAATTATGTAATAGTGTGTTTTCTTAACAGGGACTTGAAATGCGGTAACCATACATGTTCGCAAGTGTGCCACCCTCAGCCCTGCCAGCAATGCCCACGGCTCCCCCAGCTGGTGCGCTGTTGCCCCTGTGGCCAAACTCCTCTCAGCCAATTGCTAGAACTTGGAAGTAGTAGTCGGAAAACATGCATGGACCCTGTGCCTTCATGTGGAAAAGTGTGCGGCAAGCCTCTGCCTTGTGGTTCCTTAGGTAACTAGTAAGCGTAAAGTTGGCTTTAAAAATATTATTGTAAATGGTTGGCAGCAGTGAGTGTTTAAGCAATGTAGAAGTAAGTGCTAGTTACAATATCAGAGGTTTCTAAATATTATGATCATATTTATGTAGGTACGTTTTCTTTCCTCCTCAACATATACTTGTGAAAACCCATACATTTGCCCAAATGATCTCTCTGATTCAGGTATTTTATTGTTAACTCTGGACAACTGTGGTGAGTTACTGTTCCATAGGGGTTATGATTTCTCTTAGGAGCCTGTACTGTAATGAACACTATATGTATTTATACCAATCCAGGGTTCAGCAAGTGTTGAAAACCCTTTTCACATAATAGGAACATGCTAAAATAATTGTGGGTGAGACAGAGTCTGGTTTGGAGACAGAGTCTCGCTCTGTCGCCCCAGCTCGAGTGCAGTGGTAGGATCTCAGCTCACTGCAGCCTCTGACTCCTGGGCTCAAATGATTCTTGTGTCTCAGCCTCCCAAGTAGCTGGGACTACAGGCGCACACCACCACGCCCGGCTAATTTTTGTATTTTTAATAGAGACGGGGTTTCACCATGTTGACCAGGCTGGTCTCGAACTCCTGGCACCAAGTGATCCACCCGCCTTGGGTTCCCAAAGTGCTGGGATTACAGGTGTAAGCCACTGTACCTGGCCAAAGAACTAAAATTGTAAGTACAATAGAACCTCAGCCATTTAGATCATTCAAGGAATGTCAGCCTCTGTAGCTAAGTTTCCCATCTAGCTGAGGATACGAGGATAGCACCTATTGAACATCATTTTGGATGAATATTTTTCTTTTCTTTTCTTTTCTTTTTTTTTTTTTTGAGACAGAGTCTCGCTCTGTTGCCCAGGCTAGAGTGCAGTGGCGTGATTTTGGCTCACTGCAACCTCTACCTCCTGGGTTCAAGCAATTCTCCTGCCTTGGCCTCCCGAGTAGCTGGGATTACAGGCACCTGCAATCATGCCCAGCTAATTTTTTTTTGTATTTTTGTAGAGACGGGGTTTCACCATGTTGGCCAAGCTGGTCTTGAACTCCTGACCTTGGGTGATCTGCCCGCCTTGGCCTCCCAAAGTGCTGGGATTATAGGTGTGAGCCACCATGCCCGGCTGGATGAATATTTTTCTAAAATTTACATTTCATGTTTAAACAGAGTTTACTGAAGGTGTTGTAATTTTTCTCTCATTGACCCAGAGTCATCATTTTTATGAACTCCAGTTACTGTATTACACTGAATGCAGTGGTGCCCTTGGCCTGCTGAGGTTTCTCAGACTGATGCCCCATACCAATGAGCAGTTTGAATTGTTGTATCTGCTTGTTGAAGCTTTTTGTTGTTTATATTCTTATCAGTGCTTTTAGTATGCTTGCCTGTCTACTTTTAGTAATTCCCCCTTTCTTCTGATTTGTGGCTTCTGATTACTTGAATATAGAAACCAGAAAAAGCTCATTGGAATTAGATACAAAGTAATACTATACTGAGCCTATCTGACTCAGTCTTTTGGGAATGTATGTCTGCAGTTTTGCAATGACTTGGCAACTTCTCTCCTGAGTGGGTGTTGAAAGGCCATGCATTTAGAAAAAAATGGAAAGTAGGCAACTGAGATTGAATAGGAAAATTATTTCTAAAACTAACCATGTATCTTGTGAGGTAAAGCTAGAATCTTTAGGTTTGGTTTCCATTTCATCAAAAGGAGAGAGTTCACATTTCTTTCAAGTGCCAGCGTGAATCAGTGGGAACACCCTACTTAATCCTTTTTCTCAATCTGACCTTAAAATTGTGTATAGAGGAGAAGTGCTGTCTTCTTGTATTTTAATATACATTCCAGCTGCATTAGGAAAGCCAGTCATCTGTTGGTTCTCTGCTTGCCATGAAAATGTGTTTATGATATGGAGATCAAATGACTAGTAAATCAAATCCCCTTTCGGAAAGCACATGAGTCAGTTTTATAAGAATTTCACATATAATGACCAGAAATCCTACCCTGGCACTCATGTATCCTGTTGGTGATGAGAGAAGAAGGAAATGTGAAATGGGTAATGCAAAGGGACTTGAGCAAGAGAAGGGTAGTAACTGGCAGTAACAGACCTTGGGATGGGACAAGACCAGGTTAAGGGATAAGAGGGTACCTGCTATACCTCAGCAGGTATCATGGAAAACCTTTAAGGAAATAGGCTGAGTTGACTGAGAAGCTCAGAGACAAGCGTGTGGCTAGCGATAACAATGACTGTCAGGTTTGTTCAGACCTAGCTTATCTATAGAAAGCTCGCTTAGGTCTTTTGTATCTCACTCAGTAGGAAATTTCCATCCCAGAGACACAGCTTCAGTATAAGAGACTGGATAGAGTTCTACTTTAAAGATGGTAGCATGAAGAGCTCCCATAGATCTGCTTCCCAGTAAAGCAAACAAAGCTAGGGAAAACTATAAAAAAGCAACCATCAAGGCTGGGCATGGTGGCTCATACCTATAATCTCAGCACTTTGGGAGGCCAAGGTGGGAGAACTGCTTGAGTCCAGGACTTTGAGACCAGCCTGGGCAACATGGCAAGACCCTGTATGTACCAAAAAACATTTTTTATTTACCTGGGTATGGCGGCACGTGCCTGTGGTCCCAGCTACTTGGGAGGCTGAGGCAAAAGGATCATTTGACCCTGGGATGTTGAGGCTGCAGTGAGCCATGAATGCAGCACTGCACTCCAGCTAGGCTGACAGAGTGAGACCCTGTCTCAAAAAAAAAAAAAAAAATCAACCATTTAAAGTTTCTGGAGGCTGGGTGCAGTGGTTCACATCTGTAATCCCCCACACTTTGGGATGCTGAGGTGGGCAGATCACTTGAGGTCAGGAGTTCAGGACTAGCCTGGCCAACATGATGAAACCCCGTCTCTACTAAAAATACAAAAATTAGCCAGGCATGGTGGCACATGCCTGCAATCCCAGCTACTCGGGAGGCTGAGGCAGGGGAATTGCTTGAACCTGGGGGGCAGTAGTTGCAGTGAACTCAGATCATGCCACTGCACTCCAGCCTAGGTGACAGAGTGAGACTCCATCTCGAAAAAAAAAAAAAAAAGTCTCTAGAAATTGCCCTAAGAGCATACCTCAAATGAAGACATATTTATTCAACAAAATCTTCTAAAACTCTGGTAAACAACAGCAAGAGTCTGTGGCATTGAGCCCTAGCTAGTTCCTTCCTCCTCCCCTCAGCTCAGCTTGACAGATCTCCACTCAGGATAAGTGTGGACAAGAAGATGGGGCTTCTTCTCCCCTCAGCTCCCAGTCAGGTTTACCATATCTCACTGGGAAGGCCACATTGTCAACATTTCTCTACCCCTCCAACTCCAAGTTGAAGAGGCTGAAATTCTGGTGAGTGCAGCTGAGCAGTTAGGGCTCCCTTTCTCCACCAAGCTCCCACTTACAGAATGGAGGCTTCATCCCATTTGCAGCAGAATACTGGAGCCCTAATCGTCCTCACCCCAGCTCACTCGTAGGGCAGAGGTTCCACTGAGAGAAGCAAGCCAAGAAGGCAAGAGGCTACTATCCCACCCAGCACCCAGAGTAGTGCCTCAGAGACCTTTCCCAGGGCGAGAGACAGTTCATAACAAAAGAGAGCTCCGAGGTACTCTCCAAAGGAACTGACTTTATTTGAAACAGTGTGGGGAAGTACAGGCCTAAGGACACTTTAGAAAATGATAACATACCTTAAAGAACAGTAACTAAACTGTAGGCCATCTAGTTCATCAGAGAGAATCAGGGAAAGGTAGCTAAGAGGAGCCCTCTTCAGGTCAGAACAAATCTCAAAGACTTACAGCAAAGACTATTCCTTCCCAAATTTAATTGGATCAGACTGCTGAGCAATTGATGCCCTGGAACATTGTCAAAAACAATAGAACTGCAATTAATGGATCCTTGAGACTGAGCGTAATCCAAATAAGGCACACAGTTTAACAGAGAGATCGGGAATCAAGACAAAGAGAGCCCTGCTTGAAACGACTGTCATTCCAGGGTCAGTTTGTACCCCTAAGGTTGTGCCATCCAAAGAGTGACACCAGCGGCTACATACTGTAGGGAAAATAGACTTCACTGAAATAGTCTAGCCAAGTCACAAAACAAATAAATAAGCAACCACAACAAAAACAAGCTGTGGAGAGGGGAAGCAGTATCCAGAGTTGCTATATAGCTAAAATGTCTAGTTTCCAAGAAAAAGTATGAAATGTGCAAAGAAACAGGGAAAAAAACAGGCAACAGAAACTGCCTTGTGAGAGTGACCAGATGTCAGATTTCACAAAGACTGTAGGATAATCATAATAAATATGTTCAAAGAACTGGGCCAGGCATGGTGGCTCACGCCTGTAATCCCAGCACTTTGGGAGGCTGAGGCAGGAGGATCACGAGGTCAGGAGTTCAAGACCAGCCTGGCCGACATGGTGAAACCCCATCTCTACTAAAAATACAAAAATTAGCTGGGCATGTTGGTATGCGCCTGTGGTCCCAGCTGCTCCGGCGGCTGAGGCAGGAGAATCCCTTGAACCCAGGAGGCAGAGGTTGCAGTGAGCCGCGATTGCGCCACTGCACTACAGCCTGGGCAACAGAGCAAGACTTCATCTCAAAAAAAAAAACAAACAAAAAAAAACAAATAAATAAATATCTTCAAAGAATTGAAGGGAAACCATACTTAAAGAGGTAAAGAAAGATGTGAAGATGATGTCTTATCAAATAGAGAATATTGATAAAGAGATAGAAACTAGTTTTAAAAGAGGCCCAAATGGAAATTCTGAAGTTTAAAAGTAGGATAACCGAAATGCAAAATTCATTAGGCTGGGTACCGTGGCTTATGCCTGAATCTCAGTGCTTTGAGAGATGGAGGCAGGAGAATTGCTTAAGCCCAGGAGTTCAAGACCAGCCTGAGCACGTAGTGAGACCCTATCTCTACAAAAAATTTTAAAAACTTAGGCCAGGCACAGTGGCTCATGCCTGTAATCCCAGCACTTTGGGAGGCTGAGGCAGGCAGATCACTTGGGATCAGGAGTTTGAGATCAGCCTGGCCAACATGGTGAAATCTCGTCTCTACTAAAAATATAAAAATTAGCTGGGTGTGGCGGCACACGCCTGTAATCCTGGCTATTTGGAAGGCTAAGGCAGGAGAATCGCTTGAACCCAGTAGGCGGAGGTTGCAGTGAGCCGAGATCGCACCACTGTACTCCAGCCTGGACGAGGGAGTAAGACTCCATCTCAAAAAAAATAATAATAATTAAATTTAGCTGGGCATGGTGGCACACACCTGTGATCCCAGCTACTCAGGAGGCTGAGGTGGGAAGATTGCTTGAGTCCAAGAGGTTGAGGTTGCAGCAAGCCATGATCATGCCACTGCGCTTCAGGTGGGCAAGAAAGCAAGACCCTTTCTCAAAGGAAGAAGAAAACTTCATTAAAGGGGCTCAATAGTAGATTTGAGCTGGCAGAAGAAACGATCAGTGAACATGAAAATAGATTGAAAGAGATTTGGTCAGGCACAGTGGCTCATGCCTGTAATCCCAGCATTTTGGGAGGCTGAGGCAGGCGAATCACGAGGTCAGGAGATCGAGACCATCCTGGCTAACATGGTGAAACCCCGTCTCTACTATATACAAAAAAAAAATTAGCCAGGTGTGGTGGCGGGCACCTGTAGTCCCAGCTACTCGGGAGGCTGAGGCAGGAGAATGGTGTGAACCTGGGAGGCGGAGGTTGCAGTGAGCTGAGATTGTGCCACTGCACTCCAGCCTGGGCAACAGAGTGAGATTCCATCTCAAAAAAAAAAAAAAAGAAAGAGATTATATAACCCAACGGACAGAGAGAAAATATAATGAAGAGAAATGAACAAAGCCTCAGAAATGTGGGACACCTTTAACTGTATCAGTGTACATGTAATTGGAATATGAGGAGGAGAGTAGAAAGAAGTGGAAAAATATTTAATGAAATAATAGATAAAAACTTTCAAATGTATTGAAAAACACTACACATCCAGGAAACTCAGTAAACTCCAGGTAGGAAAGAGATCCACATCTAGACATATAATAAAAATGCTAAAAGTTAATGATAAGGAGAAAGTCTTGAAAGCAGCAAGAGAAAAATGACTTATCACATACAAGGGAACCTCTGTAAGCTTAACAGTGGACTTCTCATCAGAAACAATGGAGAACACATCACAACCAGAAGGCAGTAGGATGACATATTCAAAGTGCTGAAAGAAAACTGGCAACTGGCCGGGCGCGGTGGCTCACGCCTGTAATCCCAGCACTTTGAGAGGCCGAGGCGGGTGGATCACGAGGTCAGGATATTGAGACCATCCTGGCTAACACGGTGAAACCCTGTCTCTACTAAAAAATACAAAAAATTAGCCGGGCATGGTGGCGGGCACCTGTAGTCCCAGCTACTCGGGATGCTGAGGCAGGAGAATGGCATGAACCCGGGAGGCGTAGCTTGCAGTGAGCCGAGATTGCGCCACTGCACTCCAGCCTGGGCAACAGAGAGAGACTCTGTCTCAAAAAAAGAAAAAGAAAAAAAGAAAACTGTCAACCAAGAATCTTACATCTCATGAAACTAACTTTAGAAAATGAAGATAAAAACAAAATTTATTGCTAGCAGGCAGACTTGCCTTACAGTAAGTACTAAAAGAAATTCTTCAGGCTATAAGCAAGTAAACCCAAATAGAATTTCAAATCCACATGAAAAGACAAAGAGCACTAGTAAAGATGATTATGTAATCATAAAAGGCAGTATAAATGCATATTTCTTCTTCTCAACTGATTTAAAAAACAACTGTATAAAATAATATGTATAAAATTATATTTTAGGCCTATAACCTGTAGAAGTATATTTGATAATTATAGCATAAAGGAGATAGATGGGATCAAAGTTGTGTTAGAATAAGAAAATGATACCAGATCACAACTCAAACCTACAGGAACAAATGAGGGAAGCCATAAGTGGTAAATTTTGTATAAGAGGGGGGCTAGGCGCAGTGACTCACACCTGTAATCCCAGCTCTTTGGGAGGCCAAGGTGGGCAGATCACTTGATGTCAGGAGTTTGAGACCAGCCTGACCAACATGGTGAAACTCCGTTTCTACTAAAAATACAAAAATTAGTGTGGTGTGGTGGCATATGCCTGTGATCCCAGCTACTCAGGAGGCTGAGGCACAAAAATTGTTTGAATTCAGGAGGCAGAGGCTGCAGTGAGCCAAGATCATGCCACTGCACTTCAGCCTGGGCAACAGAGCAAGCCTCTGTCTTTAAAAAAAAAAAAAAAAAAAAAAAAGCTGGGCACTGTAGCTCTCACCTGTAATCCCAGCTACTCAGGAGGCTGAGGTGGAAGGATCACTTGAGGCTAGGAGTTCAAGGCCAGCCTGGGCAACGTAGTGAGATTTAATCCCTCAAAGAAATTTGTAAAATTACCCAGACATGGTGGTATGTGCCTGTAGTCCCACCTACTCAAGAGGCTAAAGTGGGGGATCACTTGAGGCCAAGAGTTCAAGACTGCAGTCAGCTATGATCATGCCACTGCATTCCAGCCTGAGTGACAAGAGTGGGACCCTGTCTCCAAAAATTAATAAAGCTATAAATATATATATTTGTTATCTTTTTCAGCTTCTTTAATAGATATAACATTATATAAAGTTCTAACAAAGTAGTATTGGGTTTATAACATATAGATGTGATATGTATAACAATAACTGCACAAAAGGGGAGAAGAATAGAGCTGTGTAAGGGTAAACCTTCTGTATCTTACTGGAGTTAGTATAAATCTGAAGTAGATTCTGATAAGATGTATATGGTAAGCCCTAGAGGGACCATTAAGAAAATAACTCAAAACATTTAGTGAAAAATATAATTAAGGGAATTACACTATAAAAAATATTGACAAAATGCAAATGAAAATAGGAAAGGAGTATTAGAATAACAAAAAAGACATGAGACTTACAGAAAACTAAAAAAGACGAACATAAATCCAGCTATAACAGTAACATTAAATGTGAATGGATTGAGCAAAAGCAGATATTTTTGAGTTTTGATTTATTTATTTTTTATAGAGGTGGAATCTCACTCTATTTCCTGGGCTGATCCCGAACTCCTAGGCTCAAGCAGTCCTCCCACCTTGGCTTCTCAAAGTGCTGGGATTACAGGCATGAGCCACTGCACCCAGCCAAAAGCAGAAATTTTTTAGACTGGATTTAAAAAACAAGATCCAACTATATGCTCTCTTGAGATGGAGTCTTGCTCTGTTGCCCAGGCTGGAGTGCAGTGGCATGATCTTGGCTCACTGCAACCTCCGCCTCCCAGGTTCAAGCGATTCTCCTGCCTCAGCCTCCTGAGTCGCTGGGATTACAGGTGGGCGCCACCACGCCTGGCTAATTTTTTTGTATTTTTAGTAGAGACAGGGTTTCACCATGTTGGTCAGGCTGGTCTCAAACTCCTGACCTCATGATCTGCCCACCTCGGTCTCCCAAAGTGCTGGGATTACAGGCGTGAGCCACCGCACCAGGCCATGGAGACAATCTTTATAGTCAAAGATACAATGAGGCTGAAAGTTAAAGAATAGAAAAAGTACACCATGTAAACAGTAGCCATAAGAGACCCCAGGTGATCCCCATAGGGTCCTGGAAACAGGACTTGTCCTAAACCTAGTTTAGCAGCATGGATGCAGGCACCACCAGACATTCACAGAGCTCTAGTCAGTCAGACTGTGGATCATGGCTTCTGATTATTTATAATCCCCAGATGACTTTCAGAGTCGACAGCATTCCACTAAAGTCATCCATGGCTACAGTTTTAGGGAGATTCAAGTCTACACTGGAGATGTGGGGCCTGAGGAAAAAGAAGATTTATTCTGTGTTTTTGTTATTTGTTTTGAAACAGGGTCTTGCTCTGTCACCTAGACTGGAGTTCAGTGGTGCGATCACAGTTCACTGTAGCCTCAACGTCCCATGCTCAGGAGATTTTCCCACCTCAGACTCCTGAGTAGCTGGGACTGTAGGCCTGCATCACCACTCCTGGCTAATTTCTTGTTTTTGTGCTTTTTTTTTTTTTGGTAGACACAGGGTTTCACCATGTTCCCAGGTGATCTCGAGCTCCTGGGGTCAAGCGATCCTCCCACCTCAGCCTCTCAAAGTGCTGGAATTATAGGCATGAGCCACCACACTTGGCCTTTTTTTGACTTAGGCAAATCGTCGTATACTTTAAAGCATATTCCAGTGTCTAAGCTGGGCCCTGAAGTTGTCAGAAAAGGCCCAGTCTGCCAGATGAAGGGAAGATAGGGAAGAAGCATTGACTGCATACTTCCCTCAACTCTGATTCTGGAGTTGCAGGGCATGGAGGGGAAGACCAGTGTGGCTAGCAAATTTGGGAGTATGAAAATGAGTAGTTGCAGTTTTCATTTCCAGCTCTTTTCGTTTTTATTAAAGATTTCATTCATACCTGTGAAAAGCTCTGCCATGAAGGAGACTGTGGACCATGCTCTCGCACATCAGTTATTTCCTGCAGATGCTCTTTCAGAACAAAGGTAAATCCTAAACAATGCTAGAGTTGTTGCCATCAATGTTTTCTTTAAAATGGTGATTATGGGAGGGGAGGAATCAAAATAACCTCAGTAGATTAGGTATGGGAAGTGGTTGTGGCACTCAAGGTCCAGAGGCCTATAGTGGGATAAGGCAAATATACAGATCACTCTACCAAATACAGGTGTGATAGTCTGAAAAGGGGAACAGTAGCACTGTTGCAAGGAGTCAGCCAACTAAGAAGTTAGAGGAAACACAGTCCATATGACCACCCACTTGTGGCACCAACTTTTGATACCAATTGAAAGTTCAGTGGTCCCTAAGACCACCTGCGAGGCTTGATAATTTGATAAAAGGACTCACCGAACTTGCTGGTGGTTACACTCATGGTTAGAGCTTTACTACAAGGAGGTTACAGTTTTATTACAAGGAAAAGGATACAGATTAAATCAGCCAAGGGAAGAAGTATGTAGGACAGAGTCCAAAAAAATACCAAAGGTGGAACTTCATTTGTCCTTTCCCTGTGGAGTCAGGAAAGTATTACTCTCTCCGCTTCAGTGTGTGCCAGCATACATGGAATATTGCCAACCAGGAAAGTTCACCCAGACCTGTGTGTTCAGTTTTTATTGGTGCTCTATTGTGCAATCATAGTTGACTGCCCATGTGGCTAATCTCAGTCTCCAGTCTCTCCCGAGGTGTACCGATACCATGTGACCCAAAACCCCTGCCCTAAAACTATCCAGTGTGGCCAGCCTGCTCCTAAATCACGTAATTGGACTATCCAGTGACTCAAGACTCCAGGCAAACAATGACACTTATATCAGGCATGGCATTCCACTAGGCTTAGAGATTACCTCTCAGAAGCCAAGCACAAAGGCCAGACTCTCTTTAAGTAAGGTTTAATTCTTCACTGTACATCTGTTTTGTCAGTTTCTACTTTCTGGTGAAAGCCTGGATGGTTTTTATTTTTCTTTTTTTTTTTTTAATTTTATTTATTTATTTTGAGACAGAGTCTCACTCCATCACCCAGGATGGAGTGCAGAGGCGCAGTCTTGGCTCACTGCAGCCTCCACCTCCCAGATTCAAGTGATTCTTATGCCTTAGCCTCTGGAGTAGCTGGAATTACAGGTGCATGCCATCACACCCGGCTAATTTTTGTATTTTTAGTAGAGACGGGATTTTGCCATGTTGGCCAGGCTGGTCTCAAACTCCTGACCTCAAGTGATCCTCCTGCCTCAGCCTCCCAAAGTGCTGGGATTACAGGTGTGCACCACCACTCCTGGCTAATTTTTGTATTTTTAGTAGAGGTGGGGTTTCACCATGTTGGCCAGGCTGGTCTTGAACTCCTGACCTCAGGTAATCTACCCGCCTCAGCCTCCCAAAATGCTGGGATTACAGACGTGAGCCACTGTGCCCAGCCTACCTTGGATAGTTTTCATCAGACTTTATGTTATAAAAAGTCTTCGGGTGATTCAGCTTGGGGAACACACTGAGTGTTGATTTATCCTGCTCTTTGACCTACTTAGTCATTTTAGTGTATATCAACATTTGTCCCAGTAGAGTACAAGCCAGGGTGGAGACAGAATTGTGAACCGTTGGTTCTGTTAAACACAATGCAGGGTCTGGCAGCATCTGACTTGCGAATAATTCTGAGGATATAGTCCATAAATGGGAAGCTAGTTTAATAGGAAAACTTCAGAAAAAAGGGAAAAGTAGTATAATTTACATGTTACAAAAGTTGTGTAATCATATATGGGTTTTTTCCTGAAAGAAATTACAATATACATAGGATAACAGAGGCATTTTTGAATGTCAGGTATGGGACCACTTTTGTACTTTGTAAATACTGTATTAAAGACTGAGATGCTGTGATTTGGCAATCATAAATTTAGTAATGCCCAGAGATGCTCTTTGTGATCTGTGTGACTGAAAATTGTAAGCAGGGTTGGGACATGTAAGCTGGAAGTGGCTGCTGTCAGTTTTCTTCATTCTCCCACAATCCCTCTTTCTATCTCTACGTTTTCTTGCTTCTCATTGACTCTTTGTCCTCACTCCCTCTAATAGTGGACTCCATGGCAGTGAGTGTATTCTTGAAAAGCTATGTGTAAGTTGAATTTTTGCAAGTAGAAGTCCTTAAATTGCAGGAGGAGCTCACTGTCAATACAAACTCTGTTAAACCTGTTTGACAAAGTAAAAAAAAAACTCTTCAAAAAGCTGATAATTGGCTGGGTGTGGTGGCTCACGCCTGTAATCCCAGCACTTTGGGAGGCTGAGGTGGGCGGATCATGAGGTCAGGAGATTGAGACCATGGTGAAACCCCGTCTCTACTAAAAATACAAAAAATTAGCCAGGCACGGTGGTGGGCGCCTGTAGTCCCAGCTACTCGGGAGGCTGAGGCAGGAGAATGGTGTGAACCCAGGAAGTGGAGCTTGCAGTGAACCGAGATTGCACCACTGCGCTCCAGCCAGGGCAACAGAGCAAGACTGTCTCAAAAAAAAAATAAAAAAAATAAGCTGATAATTATCACCTCATTGTTTAACTAGATTTTTCATGAATATGGATTTTTCATGACATGGTTTTGGTAATGGAATGGGCTTTTCCACAGAAGTGAGTTTTCTAGATAAATAAAACATTTCTTAAAACTTCAAAGGTTGTTTTCATTTCATCACTTTGGTGGGATTCTGATAAATGTATGCTGTGTCTATGTCTTCATAAAGCATGCTATATTTAAGTCTTTATGGTAATTCATGTGCAGGAATTTATGGGAGTTCTGCCTTTCCTGACAATTGTAGATAACCACTCCTGCATATCATTTCTTCCATATAATCCAGTGTTCACTGATGGGAGCATTAACTCAGTTTCATGAGTCACTTTTGCTTTATATCTGTAGAGAGCATATAGGGAACTTTTTCATATCATCAATCCCAGACACCTCATTTTTTATCTGAAATGTATATTTTCCAGCCAAGAACCTTTTATTGCTTAGACTTCTTCACATCTGTTATCAACTTCAGTAGCTGCTTTTTTTTTTTTTTTCAGGATAATTTTTACGAAGAGGGGACTTTTAAAGTCATTTTTCTCATTTCTGAGTACATGGCAACCTGTAAATGACATCAAAGCCAAAATCAGATGTAGAAGCCGGGCAGCTAGCCAGACTCATTCTACCCCAAGTGACTGACTTCCTTCCCACACACCATCATCACTACACACGATTTTTAGGATCATGCCTTAGCAAAATTACGTGATAGACCTTTTAGACCACTCACATGTAGTGGAAACCAAACTTTAGAGGCCAAACCAAAGATCCTGCTTTATTTCACTTTGCTGTAGTTTTGTGATATTATCAGGTGTGCTCTGAAGTGTGTAGAGCCGTTTGTCCCTGCATTAAATGGTACAGATTGTCATCTGTTTTCAATTCTTATATCTGCTTTTTATGGCTTTTTCTGTCTGTACCCTTGTTTGGTGATGACTTCTCTTTCCTTTGCATGCCTTTAGCAGCCCTCTTTCTATTTAGATTTTGTAATTATTAGTCTACTGTGAATTTGGAGACCAGACCACAAAAATTGTTAGAATTGTATTTTCATGAAAAGTCTGTAAGCCTGGAGTCCTCTTGTGAGTAAAGCTCATTCATATAGGGATTAGGCTCGCTCCAGACATGGCAAGTGAAGTTGGTGAATAAGTGACTATCAGAGAAGTATGGGATATTTGGGATATTCTTGTTACCTATGGCATTATATTATAGTTGTATTATTTTAGTTATTCCTAAAGTAGTTACCATTTCTTTTTCTTTTTCCATAGGAGCTTCCATGTACCAGTCTCAAAAGTGAAGGTATGACTGGGGTGGGGCATGAGGGAATTTCTGGGGTGAAAGTGTCGTCACTCTGAATCTTGTTAGGGAGTTGGGTTATGTATTTGTCAAAATTCAGTGAAGGCATACTTAAGATTTGTGGTATAACTTTCACCTCAAAAGGAAAAAAATATAAATTGAATTCTAATTGATGAAATGCTGAAAAATATAAGCTAAGTGCACTCATGTCTACAGCTTGCTTTGAAATGCATTAAAAAAGAAAATTAGTGGGTAGGTAGAAGAATGGATATGTATATGAAAAAATATGTTAATGGTAGAATCTAGATATGGGCATATGGATGTTCACTGTAAAATACTTTGAACTTTTTTTCTTTTTCCTTTTGAGACGGAGTCTCGCTCTGTTTCGCAGGCCAGAGTGCAGTGGCGCGATCTCGGCTCACTGCAACCTCCACCTCCCAGGTTCAAGTGATTCCCCTGCCTCAGCCTCCCAAGTAGCTGGGATTACAGGTGTCCACCACTACACCTGGCTGATTTTTGTATTTTTGGTAGAGACGGGGTTTCACTGTGTTGGCCAGGCTGGTCTCTAACTCCTGACCTCAAGTGATCCACCCGCCTCGGCCTCCCAAAGTGTTGGGATTACAGGCATGAGTCACCACACCGGCCTCGATTCCTGTTTTTATAACCGACACATACTGTTGTTGAAGCCATTTTAAAACCTTTTTGGAAAAGTGATGGAAGATAAGGATATGCAAAATAAAAGGTCTTACTGTAGTCAGAAAGAAAGCTGTATTGGTTAGGAAGCTTCTGGATGCAGGTAACAAAACCCAAGAAAAAGTGACTTTTACGATAAGGGTGTTTACTGCCACACCTGATAGGATATCTGGAGGCAGAACAAGTCCGAGATTGGTTAATTTTAGCTCAGTGATTTTGAAGACTTCAATTTGGCTTCTCTGTGGTTTTCTTGATTTTCTCCTCGTGGGTATGTTAGCTGCTGCAGCTTCACACATTGGGTCTCTGCCCAACAACATCTAAACAAAATCCATGAAGAGAGTGTTGTTGTTCTCTTCCTATGTAAGAGCAAGGAAAACAGTCCTGAAAGGTTCTCAGTACACTGTGTCCAATTCTTCTGCCTAAACCTGTAACTAGCAAAGTGAATGGAATTACCATGGTGGGTAAAGGTACACAACATCCACCCCTGGAACTGAGGAGCACACTGGCTCCCAGTTTCTGAACAAAATTAAGGCTGTCTTTGCCTGAAAGAGAAGAGTGGCCGTTTGGGAGGTACCCAGCAATATCTGCCTCAAAACCGTATTTAAACTTTTGGTTCAGTGTGCCATCTGTATCAAGGAAAAAAAGTTTGGTTATTAAAAACATAATTTGGGTCCAAGCCTGGTGGCTCATGCCTGTAATCCCAGCACTTTGGGAGGCCAAGGTGGGCGGATCACCTGAGGTCAGGAGTTCAAGGCCAGCCTAGCCAACATGGTGAAACCCCATCTCTACTAAAAATACAAAAATTAGCCAAGTACAGTGGCGCACCCCTGTAATCCCAGCTACTCAGGAGGCTGAGGCAGGAGAATCACTTGAACTCAGGAGACAGAGGTTGCAGTGAACTGAGATCACACCATTGCTCTCCAGCCTGGGCGACAGAGTGAGACTCCGTATCAAAAAAGAAACAAGAAAAACATAATTTGGGCCAGATGCAGTGGCTCACATCTGTAATCCTTATGCTTTGGGAGGCCAGGGCTGGGGGATCACTTAAAGCCAGGAGTTCAAGACCAGCCTGGGCAACATAGTGAGGCACTGTCTTTGCAAAAGAATTTTTAAAGTTAGCCAGGCATAGTGGCATGTGCCCATAGTCCTAGATACTCGGGAGGCTGAGGCAGAGGATTGCTTGAGTCCAGGAGTTTGAGGTTGCAGTGAGCTGTGATTGTGCCATTGCACTCTATCCTGGTGACAGAGCGAGACCCTATCTCTAAAACAATAAAACAAAATAATAAAAACATAATTTGAAAAAATACAAAATTAATACACTTATGAAGTTTAAAAAAAAATATGAAGTGAAAGATGAAAATTTGCCCTCTAATAGTAGTTTGTTAGTTAGGGTTTCAGATCTTTTTCCCTATTCATACAGATGTATAAACATGCCAGCATAGTTTTGTTTTTCCCTAGATTTAGGCTTATACTAAAGATACTGTCTGCAGCTTATTTTCCCTCACTAATATCTCAAAGACGTATTTCCATGTCAGTATGCATAACTCTTGTTCTTGCAGAGTATTCCATATGTGGATCTGCCTTGTCATAGTTCACCATGACCCTTTTGGTGGTCATTTAGGTTGTCTCCAGTTTTTCCCCATTATTAATAAGCAGGAACCGTCCTGTCCCACTTTTTATAACTTTATGATGCAAAATTTCAACCATACGTGAAAGTGGAGAAACTGGTATAATGAATCCCCACGTACCTATGACCTGTCATCATCAGTTGTCAACATTTTACCTCTCGTTTTCATCCATCCCTCCTTCCCTACATTTTATTTATGCTGAAGTACTTTGAAAACAAATCTCAAATATCATTTCACCCATAAATACTTCAGTGGTTAGCCCACTTTTTTTTTAGTTGAAATTCACATAACATAATTAACCATTTTAAATGTACAGTTCAGTGGCACTTAGTTCTTTCACAATCTAGTTCCAAAATATTTTCTCTGTCTTACATTTTTTCTTCTTCTCTATTTTATCTTTCTTTTTCTTTTTTTTTTTTTTTTTTTTGAGACGGAGTTTTGCTCTTGTTGCCCAGGCTGGAGTGCAGTGGCGCAATCTCAGCTTACTGCAACCTCCACCTCCTGGGCTCAAGCAATTCTCCTGTCTTAGCCTCCTGAGTAGCTGGAATTACAGGCACCCACCACCATGCCTGGCTAATTTTTTTGTATTTTTAGTAGAGACGGGGTTTCACCATGTTGCCCAGGCTGGTCTCGAACTCCTGGCCTCATGTAATCCGCCTGCCTCAGCCTCCCAAAGTGCTGGGATTACAGTCATGAGCCACCGTGCCCAACCTTTTTTTAAATTTTATTTTAAAAATATGTTGAGACAGGGTCTCACTTTGTTGACCAGGCTGGTCTTGAATGCTTGGTCTCAAGTGATCCTCCCATGTTGGCCTCCCAAAGTGCTGGGGAAAAACATTTTCGTCACCCTGAAAGGAAGCCCTGTATTAATTAAGCATTTACTCCCCACTCAGTCCTCCCCCAGGTAACCACTGATCTGCTTTCTATCTGTATGGATTTACTATTTTCGAATACTTCATCTAAATGGAGTCACAATATATATTCTTTTGTGCCCTGCTTCTTTCACTTAGCATGTTTTCTAAGTTTATCATACTGTAGTATATATCAGCACTTCATTCCTTTTTATGATTGAATAATAATTCATTTTATGAATATACATTTTATCCATTCACTGGTTGATGGATATTAGAATTGTTTCTACTTTTTGGCTATTGTGAATAGTGCTGTTATGAACATTTGTATACAAGTTTTTGTTCCAATACCTATTTTCATTTCTTTGGGGTATATACCTAGGAGTAGAATTGCTGGATCCAATGGTAATCTTGTGTTTAATTTTTTTGAAAAACTGCCATTCTGTTTTCCACAGTGGCTACACCATTTTATATTCCTACCATCAGTGTATGAGGGTTTCATTTTCTCCACATCCTTGCCAATACTTGTTATTTTCTGGGTTTTTTTGGTTTTTGTTTTTTTGAGATGGAGTCCCACTCTGTTGCCCAGGCTGGAGTGCTGTGGCGCTATCTCAGCTCACTGCAAACTCCACCTCCCAGGTTCGAGTGATTCACCTGCCTCAGCCTCCCGAGTAGCTGGGATTACAGGTGCCCGCCACCGCGCCCGGCTAATTTTTGTATTTTTAGTAGAGATGGGGTTTTACCATGTTGGTCAGGCTGGTCTCGAACTCCTGACCTCGTGATCCGCCTGCCTCAGCCTCTCAAAGTGCTGGGATTACAGGCGTGAGCCACCGCACCGACCATTTTTGGGGCTTTTTAAATCATAGCCATCCTAGTGAAGTGATATATCACTACCACATGATGTGATGTCTCTGATATCTCAATGTTAGGTTTTAAAATCTATTTATTGTTTAAGACAGGGTCTCTGTCACCTTGACTGGAGTGCAGTGGCAGACCACAGCTCACTGCAGCCTTGATCTCCTGGGCTCCAGTGGTCCTCCCACACAAGCCTCCCAAATAGCTGGGACCACAGGCATGTGCCACCATGCCCTTTGCTTAATTAACTTTTAATTAAGTTTTAAAAACTTAATTTTTAAAAGTTTTTCCAGGGCTGGGCGCAGTAGCTCACGCCTGTAATCCCAGCACTTTGGGAGGCCAAGGCAGGCGGATCACTTGAGGTCAGGAGTTCAAGACTAGCCTGGCCAACAAGGTGAAACCCCGTCTCTACTAAAAATACAAAAAATTAGCCGGCATGGTGGCAGGCACCTGTAATCCCAGCTACTCGGGAGGCTGAGGCAAGAGAATCGCTTGAACCCAGGAGGCGGAGGTTGCAGTGAGCAAATTTTTGTAGAGACAGGGTCTCATTATGTTGGCCAGGCTGGTCTCAAATTCCTGGGCTCGAGCAATCCTCCTGCCCTAGCCACACTTAAATTTTCGATAGAAACACACTCAGCCAGCCTTCCATATCCATGGGTTCCATATCCATGGATTCAACCAACCACAGATTGAAAATATTCAAAGAAACAAATTACATCTGTACTGAACATGTACAAAATTTTTTCTCATCATTTTCTAATAGCATTTACATTATATTTGGTGTTATAAGTAATCTAGAGAAGATTTGAAGTATAAGGGAGGGTGTGCATAGGTTATATGCAAATATTATACCATTTTGTATAAGAGACTTCAATATCTGTGGATTTTGATATCCAAGGGAGGTCCTGGAATCAGTCCCCCATGGACTCCAAAAGTTTGTACACCCATCTACTAAGATGAGCATGGCTTCTCCTCCACACCTTAAACACTACCGTTGCTATTTTTTTTATTTTTTGAGTTTTAAAGGTGAAAATTGATATTTTAATATGCATTTTCAGCTGGGCAGAGTGGCTTACACCTGTAATCCCAACATTTGGAAGGCCAAGATGGGAGGCTCATTTGAGTGCAGGAATTCGAGGTTACAGTGAGCTATGTTAATGCTACTGCACTCCAGCCTGGGTGACAGAAAGAGACCCTGTCTCTTTAAAACAAAACAAAACAAAACAAAACAAAAACTGATGGCCGGGCATGGTGGTTCACACCTGTAATCCCAGCACTTTGGGAGGTCAAAGCAGGTGAATCACCTGAGGTCAGGTGTTCAAGACCAGCCTGGCCAACATGGCGAAACCCTGTCTCTACTAAAAATACAAAAATTAGCCGGGCGTGGTGGCGCACACCTGTAATCCCAGCTACTCGGGAGGCTGAGGCAGGAGAATCGCTTGAACCTGGGAGGTGGAGGTTGCAGTGAGCCAAGATTGCGCCATTGCACTCCAGCCTGGGCAGCAGAGTGAGACCCTGTCTCAGAAAAAAAAAAAGAAAGCAAAAAGGCCAGGCGTGTTGGCTCACACCTGTAATCTCAGCACTTTGGGAGGCCATGGGAGGTGGATCACCTGAGATCAGGAGTTAAAGACCAGTTTGGACAACATGGTGAAACCCTGCCTCTACTAAAAATACAAAAATTAGCTGGGTGTGGTGGCAGGCACCTGTAAGCCCAGCTACTTGGGAGGCTGAGGCATGAGAATCACTTGAACCTGAGAGGTGGATGTTGCAGTGAGCCGAGATCACACCACTGCACTCCAGCCTGGGCGACAGAGAAAGACTCCATCTCAAAAAACAAAACAAAACAAAAAAAACTGCATTTACATTATTACAATTGTATTATTACTATTGTATTCTTTGAGCCTATAGTTACTCAAATATTTGTTGTATGAATGTTCATATCCTTTGTCTGGTTTTTTTTTTCTTTTTAATTTGCCACAGCAGATGCTACATTTATGTGTGACAAGCGGTGTAACAAGAAACGGTTGTGTGGACGGCATAAATGTAATGAGATATGCTGTGTGGTAAGTGGACTTATTAGGCATAATCAGATTCCATTCATCCAGGTGCTGGGCTTCTGGAAGCCTGAGCCATGTGGAGAATGCAGCCCGGATTTAAAAGTCACTGGGACAGGCCCCTAAGCAGCAGTCAGAGAGCTCTCATAGTCCCCATAACCTCTCTGCAAAGAGACAGACTGGGCCTTTTTAGCCTCACCCAGGTTAAGAAGTCAGCCAGTGGCATCTGGTAGCAACACAGAGGAAGAGAAAGAGATAAGAGAAGGTCTCACACCCCAGAGCCCAAGACCCCTAGATGAGCACACAGTCTTCGGCAGAAGATTGTGTGTTGTCCCAACACAAACTGGCCTGGACTTAGCAACTTGGGCTTCAGGTTTCATGTACTGCTTAGGTCAGGTCAGTAGGAAAAATTATTAGGACATTTTTTAAAAAGATTTTTTAAAATAAAATATTTATTTAAAATATTTGCTTTTATGGAACTAATTAAATCACTAGCTGGCTATTTGTACTCTGTTATCTCATATACTCTTTTATATATAAAAAATATAACGTATGCTATATATGACATAACATGTATATATAAATGTGTATGTATGTATTAGTCCATTTTCACACTGTCAGTAAAGACATACCCAAGACTAGGGAAGTTACAAAAGAAAGAGGATTAATGGATCTACAGTTCCAAGTCGGTGGGGAGGCCTCACAATCATGGTGGAAGGCAAGGAAGAGCAAGTCACTTCTCACATGGATAGCAGCAGGCAGAGAAAGAGAGTTTGTCCAGGAAATGGCCTTAGAAAGCCATCAGATCTCATGAGACTTATTCACTATCACGAGAACAGCACAAGAAAGACCTGCCCCCACGATTCAATTACCTCCCACCAGGTCCCTCCCACAACATGTGGGAAGTCAAGATGAGATTTGGGTGGGGACACAGCCAAACTATATCATTCTGCCCCTGGCCCCTCCCAAATTTCATGTCCTCACATTTCAAAACCAATCATGCCTTTCCAACTGTCCCCCAAAGTCTTAACTCATTTCAGCATTAACGCAAAAGTCTACAGTCCAAAGTCTCATCCAAGACAAGGCAAGTCGCTTTGCCTATGAGCCTGTAAATTCAAAAGCAAATTAGTTACTTCCTAGGTCCAATGGGAGTACAGGCATTGGGTATATACAGCCATTCCAAATGGGAGAAATTGGCCAAAACAAAGGGGCTACAGGCCCCATGCAAGTCCGAAATTCAGTGGGGCAGTCAAATCTTAAAGCTACAAAATGCTCTCCTTTGACTCCATGTCTCACATCTAGGTAACACTGATGCAGGAAGTGGGTTCCCATGGTCTTGGACAGCTCCGCCCATGTGGCTTTGCAGTGTGCAGCCCCCCTCCCAGCTGCTTTCACAGGCTGTCATTGAGTGTCTGTGGCTTTTCCAGGCACACAGTGCAAGCTGTCAGTGGATCTCCCATTCTGGGGTCTGGAGGACAGTGGCCTTCTTCTCACAGCTCCACTAGGTGGTGCCCTAGTAGGGACTCCGTGTGGGGGCTGCAACCCCACATTTCCCTTCTGTACTGCCCTAGCAGAGGTTCTCCATGAGAGCCCCACCCCTGCAGCAAACTTCTGCCTGGACATCCAGGCATTTCCATACATCTTTTGAAACCTAGGCAGACGTTTCCAACCTCAGTTATTGATTTCTGTGCACCCGCAGGCTCAGCACCACATGGAAGCTGCCAAGGTTTGGTGCCTGCACTCTGAAGCCTTGGCCCAAGCTCTGTGTTGGCCCCTTTCAGCTACAGCTGGAGTGGCTGGGATGCAGGGCACCAAGTCCCGAGGCTGCATGCAGCAGGGGGACCCTGGGGCCAGCCCACAAAACCATTTTTTCCTCCTGAGCCTCCAGGCCTGTCATGGAAGGGGCTGCCATGAAGACCTCTGATGTGCTCTGGAGACATTTTCCCCATTGTCTTGGGGTTTTACATTTGGCTCCTTGTCACTTATGCAAATTTCTGCAGCCAGCTTGATTTTCTTCTCAGAAAATAGGATTTTCTTTTCTCTCACATTGTCAGGCTGCAAATTTTCCAAACTTTTATGCTCTGTTTCCCTTTTAAAACTGAGTGCCTTTAACAGCACCCAAGTCACCTCTTGAATGCTTCGCTACTTAGAAATTTCTTCCACCAGATACCCTTAATCATCTTTCTCAAGTTCAAAGTTCCACAGATCTCTAGGGCAGGGGCAAAATGTTGCCACTCTCTTTGATAAACAACAAGAGTCACCTTTGCTCCAGTTCCCAACAAATTCCTCATCTCTATCTGAGACCACCTCAGCCTGGACATTATTGTCCATATCATTATCAGCATTTTGGGCAAAGCCATTCAGCAAGTCTCTAGGAAGTTCCAAACTTTCCCACATTCTCCTGTCCTCTTCTGAGCCCTCCAGACTGTTCCAACATCTGCCTGTTACCCAGTTCCAAAGTCACTTCCACATTTTCGGGTATCTTTTCAGCAGTGCCCCACTCTGCTGGTACCAGTTTACTGTATTAGTCTGTTTTCACACTGCTGATAGAGACATATCCAAGACTGGGCAAGTTACAAAAGAAAGAGTTTTAATGGACTTACAGTTCCAAGTGGCTGGGGAGGCCTCACAATCATGGTGGGAGGCAAGGAGGAGCAAGTCACATTTTAACATGGATGGCAGCAGGCAGAGGGAGAGAGCTTGTGCAGGGAAACTCGGCCTTATAAAGCCATTAGATCTCATGAGACTTATTCACTATCATGAGAACAGCACGGGAAAGACCTCCCCCACCATGATTTAGTTAACTCCTACCAGGTCCTTCCTACAACATGTGGGAATTCAAGATAAGATTTGGGTGGAGACACAGCCAAACTGTATCAGTGTATATATATATACATAAACAAGGTAACACAGTACCAATAGCAAGGTAGTACGTGTGTATGTATGTATATAGCATACATAATTATTTTTTAAATTTATATATTTAAGTGAAGAGTGATGAATTGTGCAAGTATTATAAACTAGTGTTAGAAGGCTTAAAGACTTCCTCTTATTATAAAAAAATTTGCAGCCAGGCATTGTGGCTCACACCTGTAATTCCACTTTTTGAGGCCGAGGTGGGTGGATCTTGCTTGATCCAAGGAATTCAAGGCCAGCCTTGGCAACATGGTAAAACCCCATCTCTGCCAAAAATACAAAAATTAGCCAGTTTCATAACCCGGTCTCTAAATAAATAGATTTAAATGTAAAAATAAGGCTGGATGCGGTGGCTCATGCCTGTAATCCCAGCACTTTGGGAGGCAAAGGCAGGCAGATCACTTGAGGTCAGGAGTTCCAGACCAGCCTGGCCAACATGGTGAACCCTGTCTCTACTAGAAATACAAAACTTACCTGGACATTGTTGTGGGCACCTGTAATCCCAGCTACTCAGGAGGCTGAGGTAGGAGAATTGCTTGAACCCAGGAGGTGGAGGTTGCAGTGAGCCAAGATCGCACCACCACACTCCAGCCTGGGCAACAGAGTGAGACCCTGTCTCTGTCTCTCTCTCTCACACACACACACACACACACACGATGTAAAAATAAAATATATTTTTTTAAAATTTCAAACTGGCTCATGCCTGTAACCCCCCAGCACTTTGGGAGGCCAAGGTGGGCGGATCATGAGGTCAGGAGATTGAGACCATCCTGGCTAACACGGTGAAACCTCGTCTCTACTAAAAATACAAAAAAATTAGCCAGGCATGGTGGTGGATGCCTGTAGTCCCAGCTACTCAGGAGGCTGAGGCAGGAGAACGGTGTGAACCTGGGAGGCGGAACTTGCAGTGAGCCAAGATTGCTCCACTGCACTCCAGCCTGGGCGACAGAGCGAGACTCCATCTCAAAAAATATATATGTATGTATCAAATATATGCAGAAGCAGAGAGACTACTAGTATAGAGAGTCCCATATACACAACATCCAGTTTCAGTATTGATCACCTCATGACGAATTTTGTTTTATCTTCATCCCCACCTACTCTCCCTTCTGTGGCTATTTTGAAGGTATTTCCAGATATCATTTTATCCATAAATGTGTAGAGCTTTGTTTTTATTAATCTTGTTGTTATTTATGGAAAATATAAAATGAAGACCATTTTATGAACAAATATAAATCTCTTTTCCCAGGATAAGGAGCACAAGTGTCCTTTGATTTGTGGGAGGAAACTCCGTTGTGGCCTTCATAGGTGTGAAGAACCTTGTCATCGTGGAAACTGCCAGACATGCTGGCAAGCCAGTGAGTGTCTTTACTGTATAGTTTATTAGAAGAGTTTTTTAGAAATTCAGACATAATATACTTTGAGAGATTGATTTACTTAGAATTGTATGGATTCTTGAACTAAGCCTTCGTATTTCCAATATGTTGAGACTTTTTTTAAAGTTACTTCTAATGCTGTGTTGTAGTCCCTGAATGTGCAAAACTTGGGATATGAACAGTGATCCTGAGATGGGGCCTAGTTCGTTAATAGATTCCTTCTCTGCTACATGCCTCATATGTGTTATTGACCTAGGTTCTGTCCTCAACAATCTTCTTTCTCTATATTATTAGCAGCAGTTTGCAAACTTTTTGGTTGTAGGGCTCATTTACATTACCAAAAACTATCCTAAAGAGTCATTTTTATGTGAATTGTATTTATCTTTATCTACCATATTAGAAATTAAAACTGAGAAATTTAAAAAATAATTGATTAGTATATTTAAGAATAATAATATACC